>NC_000024.10:3639537-3939946 GCF_000001405.40 Homo sapiens
ATTTTAAAAGTACTTCAATGTATGATGACAATATTTCATCAAACAATATCATAAAGGGGAGAAAATTATATATAAATTAATACAAATTATGGATTTTAAAAATAAAATAACCAATAAATTATTTATTAAAAGGAATAAAGGGTAGATATAAGCTGACATAAAAATAATTCACAGATGTAAAGGTAAATTAATAGAGATAATGCAATGAAAAGAACAGGGTAAACAAGAATGAACAATTCACGAAAATGAGCAGAGACTCCCAGAAATGTGGGACAGCGTTAAATAGTCCAACATACACATATTGCGAATACCAAAAAAAAGGAAAAAAAAAAGAGAAGAAAAGTCATTCCAAAAATTAATGACCAAAAATTTCTCAAATTTATTGAAAAGCCTTAATCTACATAAACAGGAATCTCAACAAACTCCAAGTAGGATAAATACCAAAAAATCCACAAATCAACACATTATGGTAAAAATGCTGAAAGCCAAAGACAAAATCTGTAAAGCATCAGAGAACAATAACTCATTACTTACAAGAAATCCCCAAAAAGAGGAAAAGCTGGCTTTTTATAAGGAACGATGAAGAGCAGAAGGCAGTGGGATCACATATGCGGAGTCTAAAAAAAAGCCTATTGAACAAGAACCCTATATCCAAAAAATTATCCTATAAGAATGAAAGCAAAAGGAATTTAAAAATGCATAAAACAAAAACTAACCCAAGTAAAGGGAGAATTAACCATTTCTCCCCATAATAGATGGATATTTTAATACCCGACATTCAATAATGAATAGAACAACTAGGCAGATGACAAACAAGGAAACAATACTTGAACAACATGATAAACCAAATGGAACTAACAGACATTTATAGAACACTTAAAAACAGAAGAATACACATCTTTCTCAAGGGCACACAGGACATTCTTAGAATAGGCCTTATGATAAGTCATTAAATAAACTTCCATAAATTTTAATGGATTAAATTAATATAAAAAAGTTCTATGACCACAATTGAATGAAATTTAAAAATCTATAAAAGAAGAAGTTTTGAAAGCTCTCTTATATGGAAATTAAACAACACACTTTGAAATAACAAACAGGTAAAAGAAGAAATTGAAAGCAAAATTATAAAATACTTAGATATGTAAAAAATTGAAGGTATAACATAATACTTATTGTACATGGTTAAAGCAGTATTTAAAGGGAAATTTATAATAGTAAATTCTTATCTTAAAATAAACACAAAGCTCTCAAATTAGTCACCTAACTTTCCACATTATGACACTAGAAAAAGAAAATAAAATATAAATCAAGCAGAAGTAATAAAAAATAAAAATTAAAGCAGAAATGAAAAAAGAGAATGCAAAATTAGATAAAAATCAAAGAATTCAATAGCTAGTTTATTTAAAAAGTTAAATAAATTGGGAAGCTAATAATTATATAGATGAAGAGTAAAGAAAATTACTAGATTCCAAAACAAAAGAGAGGATATTACTACTGACTTTAGAGAATAAAAGACTAAAGAGGAATGCTATGAACAATTATGTGAAAATAATCTGTAATATTATGTTTACTATAATTTTTATTTCTTGGTGTTGTAAAACTATAAGATCTGATTTTCAAAGAGAAGCAAACATAATTATATTTTAAAAATTCCAAAATACTGTTTTGTCAATGCTTTATTGCAATATAATTCACACGTGATACAATTCATTCCATTTGAAGTATACAATCAATTTTAGATGACTTTTACCACATCAGAAAAAAGGCCTATACCTTTTAGCTATTACACCTTAGTTCCCAGCTCTAAGCAAACAGTAACTACTTTTTGCCTCTCTAGATTTGTCTATGGTAGACATTTTGTATTAGCAGTATCATACAATATGTGGTCTTCTGTAAGATAATTATTTCATTTTGAATAATGTTTCCAAGGTTAATCCATATTGTAACCTATATTAGTAGTCCATTCCATATTTATGACCAAATAATATTCCAATGTATGGATATGGCAAATTTTATTTATCAGTTGATATATATTTGGTCTATTTACATCATTGAATATTGTTAATACTGCTATAAACATGTATGATTATATATATATATATATATTCATTTATCTTGGGTTTACAGCTAAGTGTGGAATTGCTGGATCACATGGTAACACTATAGATAACAATTTGAGGACTCCCAGACTATTTTCAAAAGTGGCTGCACCTTTTATATTCCCCATCATCAGTGTATGAGGGTCTTCTTTATCAATGTTCTTGTTAACATGTGGTGCTATCTGACTTTTTGTATATAGAAATTGCAGTGAGTGTAATGTAGCATCTCATTGTGGTTTTGATTTGCATTTACCTGATGACTAAATCTTATTGACCATTTGTGTCATCTTTTTTGGAGAAATATTTATCAAGGTCCTTTGCCCAAATTTTAATTGAGTTGTCCTTTTGTTATTTAGTTGTACGTATTCTTTACATATTAAAATATAAATCCTTTGTCAAATCTGTGACCAAAAATATTTTGTGCTATTTTGTAGGCTTTTTTTAACTTTGTAGTGTCCTTTGAAGCACAGAAATTTTTAATTTTGATAAAATGCAATTTATCTAATTTTTCCTTTTGTTTCTTGTGTTTTTCTTGTCATACCTAAGAATCTATTGCCAAATCCAAGGTCACAAAGAATCACCCCTATGCTTCTACTAAAAGTTTAGTTTTAGAACTTACATTTAGGTTTTAAGTCTATTTGTTGAAAGGATTATTTTTTCCACATTAATAGTGTTAGCACCATTTGGGAAATAGTTTTGGCTTGCTAATGGCCCTTAGTGGAAACTGAATACTTAACCATGAACCTATAAGTTTTCATGGAATCTAAGCTATCCATCATAAACTGTAAATAATATATGCAGGCCCTGAAGGCATAATTAAGTTACATAAAACATGGTCCAAATGTCCATAGTCCCTATTCTTGCTACATTACCTTCTCTATTCCATCCTATACCTATGTTTGATTGGAGTTTTCTACAATCAGCTGATTGAGGAAGAGAAAACTTGGGCTGCTTTACGGGTGATTCTGAGCAATATGTAAGTATCAACCAAAAGTGGGCAGCTGCAACAGTATAGCCCTTTTCTAAGACATCCCTGAAGGAGAAGATGAAAGACAGTCCTCACAGTGAGTAAAACTTTGGGCAGTGCGCCTGATTGTTCACTTTTCCTGGGATAAGAAATGCCCTTTCATGTGATTGCATATTTATTCATGGGTTCTAGCCAGTAGACTGGCTGTATAATCATGAAATTAGAAGGAACATGATTGGAAAAATTTGTGAAGTCTGAGAAAGAGGTATGCGAATAATCTTCTCTGAATGGGAAAAATACATAAAAATATTTGTATTTCATAGGAATGCTTACCAAAGAGTGACCTTGGAAAAAGAGGATTTTAATGATCAAGGGATTTAATGACCCATTCTATAAATACAAGTCAGCCTCTGTTCTCAGACACTGCTGTCATTGCCCAATAGGCTCATCAATAAAGTGGCCGTGGTGGCAGGGATGAAAGTATTGTATGAGCTCAGCAAAATGGACTTCCACTGACCAAAGCTAACCTGGTTACAGCCACTTCCAAGCGCCCAATATGCCAGCAGCATAGAACACTGAGAATCTAATAGGACACCATTTACCAGGATGATGCGCCAGCTTGGTAGCAGATTGATTACACTGGACTACTCTCATTATGGAAATGTTAGCACTTTGTTCTTACTGATACAAATGCTTACTCTGGGTATAGATTTGTCTTCCCTGAACACAATGCTTCTATCAAAAATATCCTTGCACTTACAGAATGCCATATACCCAGTCAAAATATTCCTGATAGCGTTAGGAGTAGAAGGTATTCGAGTTACCAGTGTGAAATCCATATGAGTCTGCAACAACCTCAATTCTTGCCTCCTCAGAAGAAATAATTTGACTAAGGAGCATAGGGCATAAAAACAGCCTGAAGCAAGTTTCAAAGCAAGAGAGGAAGTTTATTTTTAAAAGCTCTAGAGCAGGATAGAAAGGAAAGTACACTTGGAAGAGGCCCAAGTGATCAACTTCAAGGAGAAGTGTGGCATTTAACCTTGATTCTCGGACTTTATATGTTGGCCCACTCCCAGTGTCTTGCACCCCTTTCCCATGATTTCAGAGATTCTTCCCTTAGGGTGGGATGCCCATATGGGCAGTGTCCTTCTTATGCTTGGGAAGTGAGCATGTGCAGTGTGTTTAGGAAGTGTTTTTTTTTTCTTTTTCTTTTTTTTTTTTTTTGAGACAGAGTCTCACTCTGTCACCCAGGCTGGAGTGCAGTGGCACGATTTTAACTCACTGCAAGCTCTGCCTCCTGGGTTCATGCCATTCTCCTGCCTCAGCCTCCCGAGTAGCTGGGACTACAGGCGCCCGCCACCACACCCAGCTAATTTTTTTTCTTTTGTTTGTTTTTTTTGAGACAGAGTCTCACTGTGTCGCCCAGGCTGGAGTGCAGTGGTGTGATCTCGGCTCACTGCAAGCTCCGCCTCCCGGGTTCACGCCATTCTCCTGCCTCAGCCTCCCGAGTAGCCAGGACTACAGGCGCCCGCCACCACACCCAGCTAATTTTTTGTATTTTTAATAGAGACAGGGTTTCACCGTGTTAGCAAGGATGGTCTCGATCTCCTGACCTCGTGATCCGCCCACCTCGGCCTCCCGAAGTGCTGGAATTACAGGCATGAGCCCCCGCTCCCGGCCAGAAGTGTTTTTATCTGTTTGGGAAGTTGCCTCTCCCTGGCGCCTGCACTGAATTAGCACTTTAGTGTGACAGTTGTGAACCATCGGGAGATTGTCTTTCCTTGGCACTGGCTGCCAAATTATCATTTTAGAGAGGCAATATAGTAACTGCCAAACCATCACCTGATGGTCACCTGACATTCCTGATGGGTGTGGGGGAAGAGCCCTCTCATGTCCCACTCATGCCTGTCTAACTACTGTGTGGCTTTTGTAGTTCGACGAGTGGAGGGAAATGGCACTCAGCAGTTTTTTCTTCCCATTGCTCAGAGAGCAGGAGGAAGGGTTACAGTGTTACAGTATTCCTTCAGTGCCACTTCACCAGCCGGAAATCTCCACGGCTGCCATGACTTCTGCCTGGGCCCTTGCTCAGGCTGGCCAGTCTCACTACACCCTCTCAGTCCGACAGGCTGCACTTGGCTTGCACCCTGGCCCAGATCCTGTGCCCACTGCAGGATCCATGGTCAGCCTGTGGCTGGATCAGGCATGGTGCAAGCAGCCTCTGCATTGGGTGCTGGTGTTTAAATAAGGGGAACATGGTGGTGCCCGAAAACTTGGAGATGCCAGCAACCATGGAGCCCCAAGGGTTGTTACAGCTCTTGCCCGGGGAGTCCAGAGGTCTAATCCCCCAAGAAATGCTACAGCTGTTGCTCATTCCTGCTGTGTGTCACAGCTCTTTCGGTCCCAAAGCCCACAGCTCCACAAATGGGGGCGTTTTATAGCTCATTTGGTCTGCTGCCTGCAGCTTGGCAAGTTCCAGGTTTTTGTCCCATGAACAAAAGGAGTAAGGTATGCAACACGGAAGAGTGAGTAGGGCAAAGAATTTTATTGAGCCGACAGAAGGAAAACTCTCACCGGAGAAGGGACCCAAGAGCAGGTAGCACTCTGTGTGAGAGGGGGCCTAAAAGTGAGTAGCCGTCTGTGTGGCTGAGTCCAAGGTTTTCATGGGCTCAGAATAGCGGAGTGCATGTTGATGGCCCATGGGTGGGCCTGGAAAAAGCACCATTTGATTGGCTAAAAGGCATCAAGGAAGTTCTCACTCCAGTCATGGACTCTTCCTGGAACTGGCAGCTCAGTTTTCAGGATTTAAACTGTCTTTGGCTTGAAGATTGGGTTTCACTGGGGAAACATCCCTGTCTGCCTAGGAATTTGTCTGTCTCCTGCTGCCATCAATTTTCCCTCCAAAGAGGTACATCTAACTGCCATTAGGATAGGGATGGTGACTGCTCTAACTGCTTCTTGCTGATGGGGGCATTATTTTGTAAAAATGGCAGTCATCTCTCTCTCAGAGGCCTAGCTAAGGGTCCCTGGTAAAAGGGAGTCATCATCTGAGGCTCTATTTGCATAACGATTTAATGGCCTCTAGGTGAGGAGAGAGATTTTACAAGGAGGTTAAATATGCATGGACCAAATATGAGTATTATACAAAGAGAAGCCAAAAGGGCAAAAAATCTAGTGCCAAAGAAAACAGAAATAAGAAGTAAAATAGACTAATCATTCTGAAAACAATGTTGTGGCCAGAGCTGTTTTAACCTGGTGAAAGAAATTAAATCTTGTATGCAGGAGGGCAGTTAAACTTTAGAAGGTAGATAGCTATTTAGGGAAGTAGATAATCCCTGGGCATTCAGGATTAAGGGGTCCTTGGCAAAGATACCTTATGGTAAAGAACAGAACAAAGGCAAGAACAGCG
The DNA here is from genome assembly GCF_000001405.40 of Homo sapiens. Taxonomy (NCBI): domain Eukaryota; kingdom Metazoa; phylum Chordata; class Mammalia; order Primates; family Hominidae; genus Homo; species Homo sapiens. The sequence goes on from NC_000024.10 coordinate 3,646,013, forward strand.
AGCACAGGTGAGACTGTAAAGAGAGTATTCATGGAAGGTTAATGATTATTGACATTTATCTTTTGTGATTTTTAGCTTGAGGTCTCCAATTTCTTCACACTGGTGCTCTGGGTGCTCTTCTGTGTCAACAGAGGTAATTCTGTGTTTCCCAGGCCTTTACTCAACTATAATGAATCCAAAAATCTATTCCAGTGACCCTTACTGCCAAAGGAGTAGAAACAAGTACAGTGTACATTCCTTCCCAATATAGGCCTAGAGAGGGAGAAAGGGAAGGAAGTGCCTTTACCAGTACTGAGTCCCCTGGGTTGAATAGACATGGTCCTAGTTCACAGAGTTGGGCCTCCAACAGTTGTTTCAGTTCCTGTTTGAAATGGGCCAAAGAAGTTACATGTTTCATCAGTGTAGAGGTATCAGAGGTTTCTTGGACTAGCAAGAAATCATTGGTGAGAAAATCCCGTTCATATATCCCTTTTTTTTTTTTTTTTGAGATAGGGTCTCACTCTGTGGCCCAGGCTGGAGTGCAGTGGTATGATCTTGGCTCTCCGCAACCTCCACCTTCTGGGTTAAAGCAATTCTCATGACTTAGCCTCCCAAGTAGCTGGAACTACAGTTGTGAGCCACCACACCTGGCTAATGCTTTTTATTTTTAGTAGAGATGGGGTTTCACCATGCTGGCTAGTCTGATCTCGAACTCTGACCTCAAGTGGTCTGCCCACTTTGGCCTCCCAAAGTGCTGAGATTACAGGCATGAGCCACTGTGCCCGGCGCATGTATTTTTTTCAAAGGGGTTTAATCCCAATTTTGAAGGGATGTCCCTAACACATAGTAGGAACATGGAAAGAAGAGTAATCTAGAGGAAATGAGTCTCTTGAGACAGTTTTTTGAGGTGCCTTTCGATAATATAATTCGTCTTTTCTAGGTCTCCTAAGGATTGTGGTCTATAAGCAAAATAAAGATAGTATTATATTCCTAGTGCCTTTGAGACCCCCCCTCTGTGACAGCTGTCTTGAATAAAGGGCCATTATCACTGTGGAAGTATTTAGGGAGTCCAAAGTAAGGAATTATTTCATTAATTAGTCCTTTTATCACCTCAGAGGCTTTCTCTATTTGACTTGGAAATGTTTCTACCCAGTTAGTTCCACAAAAGCCTTTAAAGAGTCCAGTCTGGGTTTTCTAAGGGGGTTTCTTTGAGGTTCTCTCTGGCCACATAGGTTTGCACTACTATCTGTTCACATCCCATTCAAGCTCCCCAGCTTTCTCTGGGAGGAAGGTGGCTGGGTTTAGGGAGGGACAGCTTCTGAACTGGACCATAGATCCCTCTAATAGCAGCTCTTGATAATTGAGAAGGTTGATGTCCATTAGCCAGAGACTCCCTTCCTGCCACATTATGTGGCATATAAACAGTTAAGTTATTCCTCATGGTTAACTTAGTAGCCTCTGGTACCAGCAAGGCTGCTGCTGCAACTGCCCAGAGGCAGGCTGGTCATTCTTTAGCTACCAACACAAGCTCCTTGCTTAGGTAGCCTACAGGATGCTGGGCTGGACCTTGGGCCTGGGTTAGAACTCCCAGGGCCATTCCTTTCCTTTCTGGTATGTAAAGATTGACCATCTGTCTAAGGAAAGACTAAGGGTCAGTGCCTCAAGCAAGGCTTGTTTCAATTAGTCAAAGGCCCTTTTAGCCTCTGGTTCCTAAATTAGGGAGTGAGTCTTAGCTGCTTGAGTTTCCTTTAATAGGTGACATAAGGGATAAGCTATCTCACTGTACCCAGGAATGCATAATCTGAAGAATCCTGTAGTGCCCAAGAATCCCCTCAGTTGCTCGATGGTTTTGGGAAGGGAAAAGGAGGAGATGGGCTTAATCCTTTCTTTGCCTAGCACCCTTGTCCCCTCTAACAAGATTAGACCTAGGCACTATACTGAATTCTGACAGAGCAGAGCCTTAGATTTTGAGACCTTATATTCTCCGTTAGCCAGAAAATTAAGAAGAGCCTTACTGCCCTCCTGAAAATTTCCTCAGTTGGGGCACAGAAGAGAATGTCACCTACTCATTGTAAAAGTTTAACCTGAGGCTAAAGGAACCCTCAGAGATCTTTTGACACTGCCTCCCCAAACAGGTGGGGAGCTGTCTCAGAATACCTCAGGTAACACCATCCAGGTTAGCTGGGTGGTATGGTTGGAGAGATTCTTGAATTCAAACAAATACTGGGAGTTGGGGTGTAGCAGTATGCAGAAAAGTGCATCCTTTTGGTCCAGGACTGTGAAGCACTTAGATCTCTAGGTATTTGTGTTAGCAGGGTATATGAATTGGAAACCACTGTATGAATTGGAACCACAGCCTCATTAATGAGTTGGAGGTCCTGGACCAGTCTCCATTCCTCATTGGGTTTCTGTACCCCCAACACCAGGGTATTACACGGGCTGTTGCAGGGTTTGAGGAGGTCCTGCATCCTCAAATTATCAATAATAGTTTTTAGCTCTTTCCTAACTTCTGGTTTTAGGAGACATTATCTCTGGTTAGGAAAGCAGGTGGGATCTTTAAGGTGGATCCAGACCAGTATGGCATTTGTGGCTCAGTCAATCATTCCTTGACTTGCCTAAACTTCTGGGCTAATATTGGTCTCCATAAGGGGGATGCAAAGAGTCTGTCCTGGAGCCATAAGAATGGTGGTTTTCATATAAGCTAAGATATCCCTGCCCAGCAGAAGAATTGGGCTTTCAGGCATGATTAAAAAGTCATAAGTAAACAAGAGGTCTCCCCAGTTACAACTAAGAGGTTGGGAAAAATGTCAGGTTAAAGGCTTTCCTGAGATTCCCCTCACAGTCATGCTAAGGGAGTGGAGGCCCAGAATGGAAAGGAGAACAGAAATGGCCACTTAATTGTCGAGGAAGAGGTCCACCTTCCTCCCTTCAACCTCCAGAATCACCCAGGACTCCTGGATAGTAATGACAATCTCAACCATTGCAGCCAGGGAGAGGAACTCCAGTCTCATCAGTCCTGCTGGACCATTTGAGAGATTGGCTCTGGACCCAGTGACCTGAATCTGGGAACAGTCCACCCTCTAGTGGTCCCCATTGCTGATTAAACAGGGTTGAAGTGGCTTCCTTACTCTTCCAGGGCAGTTTTTCCTAAAGTGCCATGGCTTGCCATATTTGTAGCAGTTAACAGGTGCTTCTCAGGGATTCTGGGATTTGTGAGCCTGCAAGGCAGCCATGAGAGCTTCTGCCTTTTTCTTGTGTCTCTTATCTCTCTCTCCTGAGCCTTCTCCTGATTCCTATGGTAAAAGACTGAGGTAACTACTTTCAGGAGGTTCTCTAAAGTACTATCTGGTCCCAGGGGCTGTTTCTGCAGTTTCTTCCTGATTTTAGTTGTTCTCCAATTGAATCAGGATTAGTTGTTCAATTAGATTAGGATTAGTTGAATTAGGACTTGTTGTTCTTCAATTGAATCTGGAGATAGAGGGTTGTGTTTTACCAAGGCATCTCTTAGCTTTTCCAGGAAGGGCAATGGGATTCTCTAATTCCTGGTCTATCACGGATAGTTTGGAGTAATTGAGAGGCTTAGTTCTAGTCTTTTGTAAGCCCTCCAATATGCACACCTAAAGTGTTTCCTCTGCCATTTTTCCATTTCATCACTGGGGTCCCATTTAAGGTCCTCCACTGGTACTGCTATTCTTCCCATTGGGTAAGGCTCATCTGCTTCCTTGGCACTATATGAGATACAAAGCTCATCCTAATAATTCTACTGCTTTTTAGCAGTAGTCAGGGTTTGATTCAAAAGTAATATCCTTCCAGGAGAGTTTAAATACTTGGGTTAAATTCTGGAAAGCCTGTATATTCCTGTCAGAGTCATCTGAAAACTTGCCGAGATCACCCTTAATTTGCCTTTTACCTTAAGTCCTGTAGAGAAAAGGGGACCTGGGACCGTAATGGGAAAATATTCACCAGGTATTTCTTGCAGGGGAAGGAATGAGACTGGGACTTGCCTAAAATGAGGATTTCTAGGATGAGGCAAACTTGAGAGAGAACCTGAATAGGGATGATGGAGTGGGCCAGGAGGAGCAGGGTTGGAGGGAGATGACTCCTCTGCTGAAGGCACCTCTGAGATTTGCTTCCCTAGTCCCTTCCGATTTTCCTTTGCAGATTATAACCTAGCCAAGGCTTTGTGCACAGGAATATAAGGCATATTTTTTGCCCAGAGTCTGAGGGTCAAAGAGTCCCAGTGATTCAGGATGCACTCAAGAGAAGTGCAGGCTGAAGATAGTTTGTTACCCATCTGAAAGAAAAGGGGAAAGGCATCCCTTAGTTCCCTTCTCTCTTCCAGTGAAATCCTGGGGTATGTGAGGGAGAGAAAAAAAGGCATCCCTTTCTTTCTTCCCTTCTCCGAGTCCTGGAAGCCACTAGGTGCACCACCCATGGACACAAGTGCAAGTGCCAACCATGAAGTAGGAAGGCCTAGTCATTAGGGATGGTCACACTTACCTACGCTGTGCCTTAGCCTTCCACTGTTGGTAACCTTTGGGTTCCCTAGACCTCATCTATGCCACAGATGCAAGCAAATTCTTCACCCATGAAGCAGGAAGGCCTAGTTGGCAGAAACAATCATACTCACCTGCGTGGTACCGTAGCCTTCTGCTGTCTACTGTCTCTGAATCCCTCAGATCAAGTTTTGGTTTTAGGGCTCCATACCTAAGCTTGGAAAATACATTGGAGTAATGTAAAGTGAAGCTGTGGAACCAGATGCATTAAGGCACCTTTTTAGTACTACCTTGTTCTATGATTCAAGTCAATGGAAAACTATGAAAACTCGATTTAGGCAGGATTGCTAAGGGCTCAAATACTTCAGAAGTAAAGGCTTGGTCATTTCCTAAAGCTAAGTGCCATGTTCAGCTTATGTGCTTGCAATGGGCAAAGGGAATATGGAATGGGTAGTCAAAGAAGGTAGTTTTTGAATAAAAGTTTGACCACATGACCAGTTGCAGGAATAATTCCTATGATTATTTTTTTCATATTTTTTATGAATGTTTGTATGTTTATGTGTATGGACTTATTATCTTTATTTACTCTCTGTTATCTTATTATCATATGACATATAATATATTAATGTTCCATTATCATATTTAAGTGTTGTTAAGTTTAAATTTTAGTATCACATTACAGGATATGAAGAATAGGAGTGAACATTGCCGAGGACTTCAAATTTTTTTTTTGTTGGAGAAAGAGTTAGTGAATTTTTTGTTGTGCACAGAGTGATTATATCATGTTAGGTGGAAGTATGACTTTGTCATTGTCTTTATTTTGAGGTAAGTGTGGGTTAATGAGATGTAGATGGGTGTCAAGTTGACAGGTGGTGAACTAGATTATTAAACTGTATGTGTCAAATAAGTTAGACTATGATGTCCAGTTGTTTGGTTAAACACTAGTCTAAACCATTCTGTGCAGGTATTTTTTTAGATGTGATTAACCTTGTTTTCAGTTGACTTTAACTAAAGGAGATAACTCTGGATAATATGGAGGATTTTTTCTAAATGGTTGAAGGCCTTAAGCTCAAAAATTGAGGTTTCTCAGAATAGAAGAAAACCTATCTCAAGACTAACAAAATTCCTGCCTGACATTCCATCCTGGAAGCATGTTCTACAATTTTTAGAGTGAAGACTACATCAACTCTTGCCTGAGTTTCCAGCCTGTAGGCGTGTCCTATTGATTTCAGACTTACTAAACTCCACAATCATGTGAACCCATTCCTTAAAGTCTTTCTCTCTCCTTCTCTTAAAATTTTTTCTGAAGAAATCTGACTGATAAAGTTTCTTAGAATTTTTTTAAGAGGAATTAATGTATATTAAAGTTTATTTTTAAATTATTCTGCATTCATTGAAATGATCATGTAATTTTTTATATTTTCATCTTATGATGGAAATATTATCTACATATCTGTACATACACAAAGGGATATTTGTCAGTCACATGTGGCTATCAAGTGCTTGTTGTATGACTGGTGTGACTATAGAATTCAATGTTTATTTAATTTTTGTTAATTTATATATACAGAGTTTGCCACATATAGCTAGTGCTATCATTCTGAGGCATTAGGCAAATGCTTTCATAGAAATATCAGCTACGGATCCTCAGCTCATCTCTGAAAACTTGTCACTTCCTGGAAATTCATTTCCCTAGTTATCATGGCTTCTAAAGTTTTCTAATGCCTTAAAATACAGTTTTTGTAATATATCTGGTTTTTCTACTTGTTCTCAGAGAAAGCACTCCATATCATCTCTTTCAGAAATAAAATTTGTAAAACTATTTTTAATATAGATTGAGTAAATTATACCTCCACTTCTAATACATACTGAAGTTTTTTGTTCTTTTTGGCTCTATTTTGTCCTAATTATTCTCCATTACTGAGGCAAGACTTTCCTGATTGCAGTATCCATTGTCCTGTGAATTATGTGTTTTTCCTCTGTGGCTTGTGGGAACATGCATATTTTCCAGCCCTGTGTAAACACAAGACACTATTCCTTTAAAATAACTTTTCCCTAGTATTGGTTAGTTGCCTCACACATCTGCACTGATCACTACTTTTATGAAATATTTGAAATCAGGCCATCTGAAGAACTATGGAATTATCTCAGTGTGCAGCTCTCTTCTCTCTGCTATGTTGTCATGCAAATTCTAGTTCTCTTGGTCTGCCCAGTGTCTTAACTCCCTGTCTTTTACTCCCTGAATCCACCACTATTGTTATTAGATTGTCATACCCGAGCCATGGCCTAGAAAATTTCTTAAGGCAAGAAACTGGGGTGATGTAGGTCTTACCTTGTTTATTTCCTGGCTGACTCTCTGGGATCACTGTCCTTTGCTTGAAGTTCAGTGTCTTGAAAATCATCTTTCATATATTGTATCTAAATTTTTTGTTTGTTTGTTTCAGATGGCAAGTTATATCCTATGTTACTCCATGTTGGTCAGAAGTGGAAATATCTGATAAGGCTATAATTAGGTAATTTTAACATATAAGGCAATGAACACACACTTTTACTTATATTTTTATGGTCTTGGTTTATAAACTAAAACAACAGCAACAACAAAAATAAACAAGCAAAAACTAGAAACAAATCCAAAAAAGAAAACAACTCAACTTACTACTGAAGTGTTTGACACCTTAAAAGAATATGTGAAAATAATTCTACACAGAAAGACAAGCATCATGAAACATTATAAATCCACCAGAAAGGTTAATAAAGATCATAAAAAGGAAGTAATTTTTTTTTTTTTTGAGACAGAGTCTCGCACTGTCGCCCAGGCTGGAGTTCAGTGGTGCCATCTTGGCTCACTGCAAGCTCCGCCTCCTGGGTTCACGCCATTCTCCTGCCTCAGCCTCCCGAGTAGCTAGGACTACAGGCGCCCACCACCATGCCTGGCTAATTTTCTTTTTGTATTTTTAATAGAGACGGTGTTTCACTGTGTTAGCTAGGATGGTCTCGATCTCCTGACCTTGTGATCTGCCTGCCTTGGCCTCCCAATATTTTAAGTAACCATATTAAATATTTTATCCCAAAGATACTAAAAATCTGAAATTTTTACTTCTCCTGGTTAGGATGGTAATTTGCTATAAAGCAATATTTATTATATAACTTTTAGAAAGACCTCCATGTAATTGTAGATACACTCATGTGGATAAAATAGGATTAGAAAACACACCTTCAAATGTTCACAGAAATAATTTGAAAATTGTGTGTGATAACTTGAATGAAATTAAAACCCAAACTTATTTTAGAACTCTGTCAGCAGATATGCTGTATTTCAGATAGTAGTGGTGGAACCGTAAACATTTACTAAGTGGCAGTTTTTTAAAAAACCTGTCATTTTATTGTTGATTTCCCTACTGGTGGAGTAAATAAACATATAACAGAAAATTATTTTTATTTTAACTATTAATAGTTACCTTACCATTAGATTTCTGGCAAACTATCACTTACAAAATCAGTGTCCGTCAACAACATTGATTTCCTTTTGCTTTGTCATGCTATATTTGAATATTTTTTCACATTTTCAGTAATTTTGGCTTTCAAAGTACTGGTTAAATATTAGTATAATATTTGAGAGAACACATTTTATGATCAGTGACAATGGTCAAATTTACTCATTTTAGATACTATATTAATGCATATTGTTTAATTTATGACATATTCCTGAAAAAATTAGTAAAATAAAACATGTTAAATTCAATAGTCCTCTGCCAATAACTATAATGTGTGCAATTAGCTTTTTATTAAAGCCATTTATTTATCTTCTTGTTCATAAATAATAGAAGCCGTGGAATATGATACTTTATTAGGCTAATAATAATGATCCAAACTATTATAAAATCTAGAAGTCATTACTATATCATAGAGTAGAAATTTGATTATCTTTAAAATATTTTAAAACGTGAAGTGCATAGCATACATTTTCCAATGTCTTAAGAAAATATTTTCTGTATGGTTTACGCAGTATGTAGGTATTAATCAGACTATCCATTTATGAAAAGCATTCCACTCCATGTGTCAGTTAAATAAAAGATTAAAATTATCTATTTCTGCTTAAATGCATGTTTTTCTTTAGGACTCCAAATGTTTTTAACTGACTGTTTTTTAAAATTGGCACCATTAGGCCGGGCACGATCGCTCACGTCTGTAATCCCAGCACTTTGGGAGGCCGAGGTGAGCAGATCACAAGGTCAGGAGATCGAGATCATTCAGGCCAACATGGTGAAACCCTGTCTCTACTAAAAATACAAAAATTAACTAGTCGTGGTGGTGCGTGCCTGTAATCCCAGATACTCGGGAGGCTGAGGCAGGAGAATTGCTTGAATCAGGGAGTCGGAGGTTGCAGTGAGCTGAGATCGCGCCACTGCATTCCAGCCTGGTGACAGAGCGAGACTCCATAAAAAAAAAAAAAAAAAAAAAAAATTGGCAACATTATATTAACATTTGTTTTATCATGTTTTTAAAATTTAAACTTTCAATTTTAGAATAGTTTTAAATACGTAGAAAAATCGTGTTTCCTGTATCTTATCCATTCTCCCATATTGTTAACATTTTATATGACTTTGATGCATTAAGGAACCAACATCAGCAAAATACTATATATATATAAAATATATACATATTATATATAATATACTATGTATTATATACACTATATATTATATACCATATATTTTATACACTATTATATATAGTATATACATTATGTGTATACTTTACACATTATTTAGACTTTAATAGTTATTTCTTAATGTCATTTTCAAGAATTTCAATCAGAATTGACATTACATTTAGTCATTTCTTAGTCCGATATGATCTGTGACAGTTCTGAGACATTTTCCTTTTGATAACTTTAAGAATTTTACATACTACTGGTCAGACATTTTATAGAATATTGCTCAATTTTTTTTTAAGTTTGCTTTGTTTGTTTGGCACTCGGAGGCTATGAGTTTTGGAGAAGACCACAGATACAAAGTGCCATTCATTACATCATATCAAGGGTTTTAAACACTTTTGTATTTTCTGGCACTGTAAGTTGCTTCAGGATAATTTTTGTGTATTTCTTACCCTAATTCTAAAATCGGCTTTTACTACAAGTATTCCTGGTTCTTTTATTGGAAAACTGTATTAGAAACTAAAATCACAACACTAGTCATGCCTGTTCTTACTGAGATGCTTTTGTTTCTAGGCCCTATCAGGGAATACAAACAAAATTTTACATATACTCACTCATGTATATACATATACCTTTACCTATTTCTGCATGTAACCAACTATGTTTATGTTAAGCTGATCATTAAAAAATTATTTTATTGAGGTATGACTGACACTTTAAAAGCCATCATTATACTTAAGCTAATCATAAATTAATACTATAATCTTCAACTTTATTATCACGTGGATTATTCGAGCCCACTTTCTTTGCATATCTGTAACTCCCAACTACAACAGTGAAAAAGCTGGCTCATATCAGTCAATATCAATTAACTTATTTGTTCAATTCCAGTACAAGTGTATAGTGGTTTCAGTAGTGTTAACCCATGTGCCCATGGAAAACAACTTTATCAGTTAGAATAAAGTGTATGTGGATATTTCCTTTTATCCATCTTACAGCTTTTTCATTTGTTTTTATAACTATTACCTCTTTGAGATATAATTCACATACCATGAAATTCATCCCTTTAAAATGTACAAATTAGAAGTCTTTAGTATAGTCACAAAATTATGCAGTCATTACCACTACCTAATTTTAGAAAATAATTATTACTTTGAAAAGAAACCCTGTACCCAATAGCCTCGATACCCTATTCCTTCTTCAACCAAGTCTTAGACAATCTTTAATTTACTTTTTGCCTCTACAGATTTGCCTTTGAATTGAATCATAAAAAAGTGGTCCTTTGTGAGAGTATTATTTTGCTTAGCACATCTTTTGATGTTCTTTCATGATCTGTAGCATTTATCAGTACTCCACTATTATTTTTTCTTGGTTAACTTAAAAAAAATAATGTACCATATTTTTCAGGAGTTTAAGGCTAATAGAAAAAGAACAGAAGTATCTTTGTTACAATTGATGAGCCAATATTAATGCATTATTAACTGAAGTCCTCAGTTTATGTTATAGGTCTCACTTTGTGTTTTACATTCTATGGGTTTGGACAAATGTATAATGACATATATCTACAATTACATTATCATACAGAATAGTTTCAGTGCCATAAAAATCCTATGTGCTCCATATATTACAGAAATTTCTACCAATCACTAATCTTCTTATTCTCAGAATAGTTTTGCTTTTTCCAGAAGGTCATATCCTTAAAATTATACAGGTATGTTGCCTTCTCAGATTAGTTTATTTCACTTAGCAATATACATTTAAAGTTCTTCTATTTTTCTCCGATAGTTTTTTTAAAACCACTGAATATTCCATTGCATGCATATATGACAGTTTGGTTACCTATACACCTATTAAAAACATTTTGGTTGCTTTTAAATTTATTCCATTATGAAAAGAGCTGCTATGAAGATTTATGTGCAGATTTTAGTGTAAATGTAAGTTTCCAACTTCTTTGGGTAAATATTAAGGAGCAGAATTTCTGGGTCATATGGTAAGAGCACGTTTAGTTATGCAAGAAACTGCCACTCTTTTTCCCAAATATCTGTACAATTTTGTATTTTTACCAGCAATAAATGAGAGTACCTGTTGTTACATATCCTTATTATCATTTGATGCTGTCGGTCTTTTAAATTTTTCCCATTCTAATAGGTGTATAGTGGTATTATATTGTTTTAATCTGCAATTCTCTAATGATATATTTTTGTATGCTCATATGCAATTATGCCATCTGTATGCCTTCTTAGGGAAGCTTTCTATTCATATTTTTAGATTTTTTTTATTGTTTTTTTTTTTCTTGAGACCTAAGTGTTTTTTGCATATTTCAGGTATCAGTCATTTATCAATGTGTTTTGCAAATATGTTCCTTTAGTGGCTTTTCTTCTCTTTCTCTTAACAGTATTTTTGATAGAGAATAAGCATTTACATTTAATTAAGTCCAGTTTACCTACCTTTTATTTCCTGGATCAGGCTTTTTGTCTTATATGTAAAAAGTCATCACCAAATCCAAGATCATTTAGGTTTCCTCCTACATGTTTTGCTAAGAGGGTTTTTAGTTTTTTGTTTTGTGGTCATGTCAACTTTTTTTTTAACTTTTATTTTAGGTTTGGGGGTACATGTGCAGGATTGTTATATAAGTAACTTGTGTGTCATGGGTTTTGGGTGTACAGATTATACATTTTACATTTAGTTGTATCGTTTATTTTTAGTTAATTTTTGTGAAAGTAGTAAGATTATTATTATTTTTGAACATGTATGTACAGTTTTCCAGCACCATTTCTTGAAAAGAATATCCTTTTCCCATGAACTGCTTTCACTCTTTTATCAAAAATCAATTGATAACATTAGTATGGATCTATTTTGGGGCTCTCTGTGCTTTCTATTGAATCTACTTGTCCATTGTTAGTATCACACTATTTTATTAATGCAGCTTTATAACGAGTATTGAAGTTATATAGTGTCAGTCATCCAACTTTGTTCTTGTTCAAAATTGTGTCAGCTATCCTATATCTTTTGTCATTTCATATAAACTTTAGAATATTTGTGAATGTTCACAATATACCTAATTTTCATTTTTATTCTGATTGTGTTGAATCTTGAAATCAAGTTAGGAAAATAGCCATCTTGACAATATTGAGTCTTTCTGTCCGTGTATGAGATATCTTTCCTTTCAGTTAGATATTCAGTTATTTCTTTAATCACAGTTTTATAAATTTTTTCATATAGAAATAACAAATATCTTGTCCATATTTTGTTAGCTTTGTGACTATTTCAGGATTTTTTAGGTGGTACGATACATGATATTGAGTTTTTAATTTCAAATTCCATTGTTCATTGCTGGTACATGAGGCATCAATTGACTTTTGTATATTAACCTTGTATCCTAAAAACTTATTAAAATCCCAATTATTAAAACCTCATATCTGTCAGAATAAGTAGTATCCAAAAGATGAAAGATAACAAGTTTTAGCCAGGATGTGGAGAAAAGGAAACCCTGATATACTGTCAGTGGAAATGTAAATTAGTACAGCCACTATGATAAGGAGTATGAAGTTTCTCTAAAAGCTAAAAATAGAATTATCACATGGTTCAGCAATACCTCTTCTGAGTATATATCCAAAGAAATTGACGCCAGTATGTTGAAGATAAATCTGCACTCCCATTTTCATTGTAGCATTATTCACAATATCCAAGATATGGAAGCAACTTAAGTGTCCATTAATGGATAAATGGATAAAGAAAATATGGTATATATACATAATGGGATAAAAAGGGGAATTCTGTCATTTTCAACAACATTGGTGAACCTGGAGGAAACTGTGCTAAGTGAAATAAACCAGACAGAAAGATAAATACTGCATGATCTCACTTACATATGCTGAATGTAAACAATGTCAACTTAAAGAAGTAGAGAGTAGAATGGTGATTACTAGAGGCTTGGAATGGGGGTGGGGAAAGGGGAAATATCTGTCAAAGGATACAAAGTTTTAGACAGGAGGAATAAATTTTAGTGACCAGTTTCATAGCATGATGACTACAGTTAATAATAATTTATATTTCAAAATCCCTAAAAGAGTTCAATTTTAAAAGTTCTCCACACACAAAATTGAAAAACAGGCAAGATGAAAGATAAGTTAATTAGCTTGATTTAATTATTCTACAATGGTTTATCAAAACATCACACTGTATTCCATAAGCATATAATTACTGTAAATTAAAAATAAAACATAATAAAAAATAAATTTGTTAGAGTGTGCTTTATGCTCAAAACTGTGGTGTATCCTGGTGAATGCTCTGTGTGAAATTAGGAAGCATGTGTATTATGCTGCTGTTGGATAAAATGTTCTATAAATATCAATTACATATAGTTTAATGGTGGTTCTGTTCTGTTCAACTGTATCATTACTATTTTCTGCCTGCTAGATCTGGCAATTACTGATAGAGAAGTGTTGAAATGTTGAACTATAATGCTGGATTTCTCTATTCCTCCTTGCAGATCCTCATATATTATGATGCTTTATTGTTAGGCACATACATTTTATGGATTGTTATTTCTACTTAGAGGATTAACCCAGGCTTGAACTCCTGAGCTCAAGTGATGTGCCCAACTCAGCCTCCCAAAGTTCTGGGAGTACAGGCATGAGCCACTGTGCCAGGCTCCTCCCTACTTTGTAGTCTCCAGTGTCTATTGTTTCCATCTTTATGTCCATGTGTATTTATTGTTTCCCTCTCACTTATAAGTGAAAACATGTGTTATTTGATTTTCTGTTTCTGTATTATTTCACTTAAGAAAATGTCCTCCAGCTGCATCCATGTTTCTGGAAAGGACATAATTTCATTCTTTTTAATGGCTGTTTAGCATTCCTTCATGTGTATGTACCGAATTTTCATTATCCATTTTTCCATTGATGAACATGTAGGTTGATTTCATGTCTTTGCTATTATAAATAGTGCTGTGATAAACATACAAGTTTCTTTTTCTTTGGGGACATACCTAATAGTGGGATTGCTGGATCAAATGGTAGCTCTATTTTTAGTTCTTTGAGACATTTCCACACTGTTTTCCATAGAGGTTGTACTAGTATGCATACCCACTAACAGTGAATAAGCATCCCCATTTTCCTGCATCCACAAAAACATCTTTTTTTTTTTTACTTTTAAATAATAGCCACTTTGAGTGGTATGAGATGGTATCTAATTGTGGTTTTGATTTGCATTTCTCTGATGATTAGTGATGTTGAGCATTTTTTTTCTTATATTTCTTGACTGTGTATGCTTTCTTTTGAGAAGTGTCATTTTATGTCCTTTTCCCACTTTTTAAGAATTCTTTTTTTATTTTTTGTTGATTTGTTAGTTTCTTATAAATTCTTTATTTTAGTCCTTTATAGGATGTATCATTTGTGACTACTTTCTCTCATTCTGTAGATTGTCTGTGTACTCTATTGACAGTTTATTTTGGTGTGAAGAAGCTCTTTAGTTTAAGTTCCATTTGTCAATTTTTATTTTGTTGCATTTGCTATTGAGGTCTTAGTCATAAATTATTTTCCTAGGCCAATGTCCAGAAGAGTTTTTCCTAGGTTTCTTCTAGGACTTCTGTAGTTCAAGTCTCATATTCAAGTCTTTAATCTTTAGTTGATTTTTGTATACAGTGAGAGATAGGGGTCCAGTTCTACTCTTTTGCATATGGCTAGCCAGTTTTCCCAGCATCATTTATTGAATGGCTTGCACGTTCTTTCACCATTGTTTATCTTTGTTGACGTTGTCAAACATCAATAAGATGTAGCTGTGTGGCTTTATTTCTGGGTTCTCAATTCTGTTCCGTTGGTATGTGTGTCTGATTTTTACTTGCACCATGCTCTTCTGGTTACTATAACCTTGTAGAATAGTATGAATTTGGGTGATGTGGTATCTCTGGCTTTGTTCATTTTGCTTAGGATTGCTTTGGCTATTTGGGCTCCTTTTTTGGTTCCATATGAGTTTTAGAATAGTTTTTTCTAATCTGTGAATGATGGTAATTTGATAGAAATTGCATGACTCTGTAGATTGCTCTTGGCAGTAAGGTCATTTTATCAATATTGATTCATCCAGTCCTTGAACATGGAACTTTTTTTCATTTGTTTATATCATCTATGGTTTATTTCAGCAATGCTTTGTGGTTCCGCTTTTGGAGGTTTTTTACCTACTTGGTTAAATGTATTCCTAGGTATTATTTTTTGGTGGCTATTGTAAATGTCGTTGCATTCTTGATTTGGTTCTCAGCTTGAATGTTATTGTTGTATATTGCTATTAATGTTTGTATTTTGATTTTGTACTCTAAACCTTTACTGAAGGTAAAGATAGATATCTGATGATCTTAGATAATGTGACTTCCTCTTTTCCTATATGGATGTCTTTTTTTTTTTTTCCTCTCACCTGATTGCTCTGGCTAGGAATTCCAGTACTACATTGAATAGGCCTGGTGAAAATAGACAAACTTGTCTTTTCCTAGTTTTTAAGGGGGATACCT
Organism: Homo sapiens; assembly: GCF_000001405.40. Lineage (NCBI taxonomy): Eukaryota > Metazoa > Chordata > Mammalia > Primates > Hominidae > Homo > Homo sapiens. Next base: position 3,661,647 of record NC_000024.10, read on the forward strand.
CCAACTTTTGCCCATTCAGTATGATGTTGGCTGTGGGTTTGTCATACATGACTCTTATTATTTTGAGACATGTTCCCTGTATGCCTAGTTTGTTGAAAGGTTTTTTTTTATTATGAAGGGATGTTGGATTTAATCAAATGTTCTTTCAGCATCTATTGAGATAATATGTTTTTATTTTTAATTCTATTTATGTGGTGAATCACGTATATTGAGTCACATATGTTAAAGCATCCTTGCATTTCTGGAATAAAGCCCAATTTATGCTGCTATATTCAGTTTGCTAGTATTTGTGTGAGGACTTTTGTGACTAGGTTAATCAGGAATATTGACCTGTAGTGTCCAATTTTTGTTTTGTCCTTGCCAGATTTTGGTATCTGGAAGAAACTGGTTTTATAGAATAATTTAGAGAGGAATCCCCTCTCCTTGAATCTGTCTGATTCAGGGAATTTTTTGGTAGATCTATTTTTTGTTACTGATTCAGTTTTGTAACTCATTATTGGTCTGTTCAGTATTTTAATTTCTTCCTGGTTCACTCTTGGAAAGTTGTGTATCTCCAGTAATTTATCCATTTCCTGTAGGTTATCTACTTTGTGCCCACAGAAGTATTACTAATAGTCTCTGAGGATCTTTTTATTTCTGTGGTATCAATTTTAGTGTCACCTCTGTCATTTTTATTTTGCTTACTTGGATTTTCTCTTTTGTTCTTAGTTAGTCTATCTAGCAGTGTATCAATACTGTTTATCCTTTCAAAGAACCATTTTTTATTGATCCTTTGTATGATTTCCTTTGTCTCGATTTTATTTAGTTCTTCTCTGATATCAGTTCTTTATTTTCTTTCGCTAGCTTTTCATTTAGTTTGTTTTTGTTTTTTTCCAGTTCCTTTAGGTGTGATGTTGGTTTGTTAAGTCTTTCTGTCTTCTTGATTTATGTATTTAGCGCTATAAACTTTCCTCTTACACTGCTTTTGCTGTATTTAGGAAGTTTTGGTAATTTGTGTCTCTGTGTTCCTTTTTCAAAGATTTTTTTGATATCTGTCTTAATTTTGTGTTTACCCAAAAGTCATTGATATCTGTCTTAATTTTGTGTTTACCCAAAAGTCATTTAGGAGCTAGTTGTTTAGTTTCCATGTATTTGTGTGGTTTTGAGAGTTCCTTGTGGGATTCAGTTCTAATTTTATTCCACTGTAGTCCAAGAATATGCTTGATATGATTTCAATATTTTTTGTATTTATTGAGACTTGCTTTATAACTGAGCATGTGGTCAATCTTAGAGAATGTATTAGGCAGATGAGAAGAATGTATACTCTGTGATTGTTGGGTGGAGTATTTTGTAAATATCTATTAGGTCTATTTGGTGAATAACTCAATTTAAGTCCAAATTTTCTTTGTTAGTTTTCTGCCCCAGTGATCTGTCTAATGCTAGCAGTAGGGTATTGAAGTCTGTCACAATTATTATTGTTTGGCTGTCTATCTCTTTTCTTAGTTCTTGGAGTATTTGTTTCCTAAATCTAGGTGCTTTCATGTTGGGTAAGTATATGCTTAGGATAGATAAATATTCTTGTTGAATTGAACCCTGTATCATTATACAATGCCCTTCTTTGTTTCTTTTTACCATTTTTGGTATAAAGTCTGTTTAATCTCATACAAGAATAGCAACCCCTGACTCTTTTTTGTTTCCATTTTCATAATAGATATTTTTCCATCTCTTTACTTTGAGCATGTGGGGTATCCTTACTCATGAGTTAGGTTTCTGGAAGTAAGCAGAAGCTTGGGCCTTGTTTTCTGAATCAATTTGCTATCTATGTCTCTTAAGTGGAGCGTTTAAGCTTCTTAGGTTCAAGGGTCTCATTCCTGACATATTGTTAATTTGTTTCTTTCTAATCTCAATTATGTAATTGATTTTTAGAATCTGTTAGCTTTGCACTTACATGTGCTTTTATGGTAGCAAGTATCATTCTTTCATTTTTCATGTTTAGGAGTCCTTTGAGCATTTCCTGTAAGTCTGGTATGTTGTATCTTTTTTTCTAATTAGTTTCAAGGAATTTCTTGATTTCTGTCTTTATTTCATTGTTTACTCAGAAGTTATTCAGAAGCAGGTTGTTTAATTCCCATTTAATTGTATGGTTTTGAGTTATTTTCTTAGGATTGGTTTCTATTTTTATTGCACTGTGGTCTGATGATGTGGTCGATATAATTTCATTTTTTTATTAGCTGAGAGTTATCTTATGGCCAATTGTGTGGTCAGTTTTAGAGTATGTGCCATGTGCAGACGAGAAGAATGTATATTCTGTTGATTTTATGTGGAGAGTTCTGTAGATGTCTATTATGTCCATTTCCTCAAGGGTTGAGTTAAGGTCCCAAATCTCTTTGTTATTTTTTTGCCTCAATGATCTGTCTAATACTGTCAGTGGGGTGTTAAAGTCTTCCATTCTTATTGTGTTGTTATCTAAATCTCTTCATAGGTCTCTAAGAACTTGCTTTATATATCTGAGTGCTCCTGTATTGGGTGTATATATTTTTAGGATAGGTCTTCTTGTTGAGTTTAGCCCTTTAACATTATGTAATGCTCTTTTTTGTGTTTTTTGATTTTTGTTAGCTTAAAGTCTGTTTTGTATGATATTAGAATAGGAACTCCTGCTTTTCCTTTTTTTTTTTTTTGGTTTTTGTTTTTTTGGTAAATTTTTCTCCATCCCTTTACTTTGAGCCTATGGGTGTCATTGCCTGTGAGATGAGTATCTTGAAGACGGTATGCAATTGGGTTTTACTTCTTTATGCAACTTGCCGCTCTGTGCCTTTCAACTGGGGCATTTAGCCCATTTACATTCAGGGTTATTATTGACGTAAGTGGATGTGATCCTGTTATGTTGTTAGCTGGTTATTATGCAGACTTGTTTGTGTCATTGCTTTATAGTGTCACTGGTCTATGTACTTAAGTGTTTTTTTGTAGTGGCTAGTCACAGCCTTTCCTTTTCATATTTATCACTCCCTTAAGTAACTATTGTAAGGCACGTCTGGTGGTAATAAATTTCCTAAGCATTTTCTTGTCGAAAAAGATCTTATTTTTTCTTCACTTATAAAGCTTAGTTTGACCTGATATAAAATTCTTGGTTGAGAATTATTTCCTTTATGAATGCTGTATATAGGCCCTCAATCTCCTCTGGCCTATATGGTTTCATCTGACAGGTCTTCTTTTAGCCTGATGGGGCTCCCTTTGTAGGAGACCTGCCCTTCTCTCTAGCTGCTTTTAACATTTTCCTTTCATTTCAACCTTGGAGAATCTGATGAGTAGTGTCTTGGGAATGGTCTTCTTGTGTAGTATTTCTCAGGAGTTCTCTGCTTTTCATGAATTTGAATGTTGACCTCTATAGCAAGTCTGGGGAAATTTTCAAGGACAATATCCTGAAATATGTTTCCCAAGATGCATTTTTTCCCTCCTTGTCTCTCAGGAATGCCAATGAGTCATAGATTGGGTCTCTTTACATAATCTTATATTTCTTCAAGGTTTTGTTCATTCTTTTTAATTTTTTTTTATATTTTTCTCTTACTGAGGTACTTCAGAGATTCAGTCTTCAAACTCTGAGATTGATTTATTATCTTGGTCAGTTCTACCATTAATACTTGTGATTTCATTGCAAAATTTCTGTAGAGTGTTTTTTAGCTCTATCAGATCAGTGTTCTTTCTTATTATGACTGTTTTGTCTATCGGCCTCTGTATTGTTTTATTGTAATTGTTATATTCCTTGGATTGGATGTTAATGATCTTTCTTGCCATCTGTATTCTGAATTCTATTTCTGTCATTACTGCCATCTCATTCTGTGTAAGAACCATTGCTGGGGAACTAGTGTGATTATTTGAAGGTAAGAAGAAACTCTGGTCTTTTTAGTTGTCAGAGTTCTTGTGCTAGTTTTCTTCTCATCTTTAAGGGCTGATGCTCCTTCAATCTTTGAGGTTCCGGACCTTTGAATTTTTTCTTTTATCATGTCTGATGTTCTTGGTGGGTTGACTGTGGTATAAGGTGGGCTCAGTAGATCGGCTTTATTTCTGGAGGATTTTAGTGGGTCAAGGCTCAGCTCATTATACCTCAACTGCATGCTTTAACTCTCAGGGGCTGGTATCAGGCCCACGGCTTTATTCTCTGGCTTTTGGAGGTTAGAAACATGCCATGTGGGAAGGACCAAGTTGTCCCAGACCACTGGTCTGAACACTTCAATAGGTAGTGCCACTTGGTGGTGGGCCTGCAGGTGTACAAGAAGTCAAGAATTGAGCTTTGGGAACTGCCACCTAGATTTCAGTGGATGTCCAGGAAGAAATTTGCTGCAGGAGTGGAGCCCTCATGGAAAACCTTTGCTAGGGCAGTGCAGAAGAGAAATGTAGGGTTGGAGCCCTGATACAGAGTCCCCACTGGGGAGCTGTGAGAAGAAGGCCACCATCCTCAAGACCCTAGAATGGTAGATCCACCAAAAGCTTGCATAGTGTACCCAGAAAAGCTGTGGACACTCAACTTCAGCCCATGAAAGCAGCCAAGATGGGGGCTGTACCCTAAAAAATCCACAGGGACAGGCCAGGCGTGGTGGCTCATGCCTGTAATCCCAGCACTTTGGGAGGCTGAGGCGGGCAGATCACAAGGTCAGGAGTTCGAGACCAGCCTGGTCAATATGGTGAAATTCCACCTCTACTAAAAATACAAAAATTAGCCAGGTGTGGTGGTGGGCACCTGTAGTCCCAGCTACTTGGGAGGATGAGGCAGGAGAATCGCTTGAACCTGAGAGGCGGAGGTTGCAGTGAGCCGAGATTGCACCATTGCACTCCAGCCTGGGCAACAAAGTGAGACTCCATCTCAAAAAAAAAAAAAAATCACAGGGACAGAGCTGCTTAAAACCATGAAAACCCATCTCTTGCATCAGAATGAGCTGGATGTGAGACATGGAGTCAAAGGAGGTCATTTCAGAGCTTTAATGAACATTTTCTCCCACGGAATGGGAGAAAATATTTTCAAACTACCCAGCTGACAAGGGATTTATAACCAGAATAGATAAGGAGCTCAAACAACTCTATAGAAAAAAAATCTAATAATTAAAAATGAGCAAAATATTTGAATAGACATTTCTCTAAAGAAGACATACAAATGACAAACAGGCATATAAAAGGCACTCAACATCATTGATCATCAGAGAAATGCAAATGAAAACTGCCATGAGATATCATGTCATCTCAGTTAAAATGGCTTATATCCAAAAGACAAGCAATAACAAATGCTTGTGAGGTCATGGAGCAAAAGGAACCCTTATACACTGCTGTTGGAAATGTAAATTAGTACAATCAATATGAAGAACAGTTTGGAGATCACTCATAACAATAAAAGTACAGCTGCCATATGATTCAACAATCTCACTGCTGGGTATACATACCCACCAAAGAGGAAATCAATATATCAAAGAGATCTGCACTCTCATGTTTGTTGCAGCATTGGTCACAGTAGCCAAGATTTCAAAGCAACCTAAGTGTCCAACATCAGCTTTCAATTATTGCATGTTCTTAGATATAAAGGAAATATGGTTCATATACATAGTCTATTACTATTCAGCCATTAAGAAAATAAGATTCAGTCATTTGCAACAACATGGATGGAACTGGATATCATTATGTCAAGTGATATAATCCAGGCACAAAAAGACAAACTTCACATGTTCTCACTTATTGGTGGGATCTAACAATCAAAACAATTGGACTCATGAAGACATAGAGTATAAGATGGTTACCAGAGTCTGGGAAGGGTAGTGGGAGTTGGATAAAAATTGGGATGGTTAATTGGTACAAGATAATAATCAGAATGAATGAATAAGATATTTGATAGCACAACAGGGTGACTATCGTCAACAATAACTTACTTGCACATTTTAAAACTAACATAAGCGGATTGCAACAGAAAGGATAAATGCTTGAGGGAATGGATACCCTATTTTCCATGATATAATTATTACCATTGCATGCCTGTATCAAAATAGCTCATGTACCCCCATAAATATATACATCTACTATGTTCCCATCGAAATTAAAAATTAAAAATAACAAAAAAGGTATGTTGCTATAGTATTTTTGCCTGGAGTGATCTGTTTTCATCTGTTGGGTATAATTATTAGTGTTAAGTCTTTTACTTCCCGTTTAAAATTTCTAGTTTTCTTATTTATCATTGAAAGTTGTAGTACTGCAGTTTCCAAATGTTCCAGACCATTATTGCAGAGCTTTCTGTTTCTCTCTTCAATTCTATCTCATATGTTTAGGATCCCTGATATTTAGTGCATATATATATATATAGTATTGTTATATATCTTCTTGTGAATTTATACTTTATCATTATATAATGTTTCCATTTGTCTCTTATAACAGTTTCAATTTAAACTCTACTTGGCATTGATATCACCATTCCTTTGCTTTTTCCATTACTGTGTGCACCAATATTTTTTTCTTCTTATCTCTTTCAACCTTTGCGTGTTCTTAAATACAAAATGAGTATATTAAACTGTCCATATAGTTAAGAGTGCTTTTAATCCATTGTGTCAGTCTGTCTTTTGGTTAGAGAGTTGAATAAATAATGGTTTAAATTTATAATTGATAGGGAAGATTTATTATTGCCATTTAAATAATTTGTTTTCTGTATGTCTTATAGCTATTTTGTGCCTCCTCTTTTTTCTAATGCCTTCCTTTGTGGTTAGTTGATTTTTTTTAATTGACACATTTTTATTCCCTTCTTATTTCCTTTTGTGTGTATTCTATAGATATGTCCTTTGTGGTTACCTTGGTGATTATCCATAATATCCTACATATATGAAAAATTATTTTGAATTAATACTACTTTAATTTAAATCATGTACACAAATTTTCTTTCTTCATGTCATTGATTTACAAATGTCATATTAATATATTTTCTGACTATTAATGTAGGTTTCAAATTTCTTTTTTAATTTTTTAAATCCTGTAGAGGAATAAAAAATAGCTATAAACCAAAATGCAAAAAAAAATAGTTTTTGTGTGTTTTTCATGTATGTATCCTTAACAGAAATTTTTATATTTTGTTGGGCTTTAAGTTATTGTCTATACATCCTTTTATGTCTACGTGAAAGACTCCCTTCCGCATTTCTCTTAGCACAGATCTCGTGATAATGCACTGTCTCAGCTTTTATTTATCTGATAATGTCTTAATTTCTTCCTCATTTTGAAGGACAGCTTTGCCCTGGATTAAATACTTGATAGAGAGGGTTTGTTTGTTTCTTTCTTTTAACACTGCAGATATATCTCCTTCCAGACTGGAAGGCTTACCTAAATAATCTGATAAATTTATTAAAGATACCTTGTGCATGATTAGTCACTTTTCTCTAGATGTTTACAAGATTCTGTTTTATATTTGGCTTTTGCAACTTTGATTATTATGCATCTTGCAGTGGGTCCTTTGGATTTTTTTTTTAACTTGGAGCTTCTTGTATTTTTATATCCGTGTTTTAAAATCAGATTTTGGATTTCTTATCATTATTTAAAAAATATGCCATTTTTCTCACTTCTTTTTTTAAGATTACCATAATGCACATATTGTTCTGCTTGACGGTCTCTCATAAATGTCTTAGGCTCTGTTCACGTTGTTCATTATTATTTTATTTGGCTTTGCTCCTCAGATTTACTAACTTCCAATGTTCTACCTTCAAGTTTACTAATTCTTTCTTCTTCTGGTTTGAGTCTGATGTTGAGCTTCTGTACTAAACTTTTCAATTCAGTTATTTTATGTCTCAGCTATAGAATTTCTGCTTTGTTTTGTTTTATAATTTATATCTCACTGTTGACATATTCACTTTTATATATGATTTTTATAATACTTTTTCTTTTTTGTGTCTTTTAAATTTAAGCCTACTATAAACAGTTGTTATAAAGTATTTTTCTAATAAGTCCTAGATTTTGGTCAATTCATAGAGATTTATTTCAGTCCTTTAAATAGACCATTTTTTCTTGTTTTTTACATTTTGCAATTTTTGTTGAAAATTTGACATTTGAAATAACAGCCATTCTTCCAGTTTTTGCAATTTGACTCTATGTTAGGTGAAACCTTCACTATAAGCCCAGTGTGAAGGATTTATGTTTCTCAGGTCTTCTCTGGGCATGTATATTTCCTGTGTCTGTGTCTGTGCTTTTTTCTAATTCCCTCCATATAAACATCTATGCTGCTTTCCTCATCTTATCTCTTAGTTAGGTGATACAGAATATGGTTCTGTAAGCAGGCCACAGACAGAGCAAAAATTTGCAAACCATTTCTCTGAGGAAGAAGTGCAAGAAATTTGGCTACTTCCTCCCAAAGATGCCACACCAGGGAGGGAGTGACACAGGGCCACAGATTTGCTTGTCTTTATGAGTGTGACTTCTTGTTGATTGGGCATCTGCTTAATTGTTACAATCCATTGACTGTATTCTGGGGCTCCTACAAAGTTATTTTAGTTTACAGTTTATAACCTGATGTTTCTGTGGGGAGCCAAAAGGACCTGGAGTTTCTCAAACTGCCATTTTGCCAATAGCTTGGAAGGCTCTTGTTACCTAATTCTGAAAGCTTTATGAAGTTACTGTAATAAAGATAGTGTATTGTGGAGAAGGAGAGAAATATTTGTCAGTAGAACAGAAAGGAAGAGGAACAGAGGAAGATCAGAGTAGACCCACTAAAATATGGACAATGGAGCTTTACAATAGCACGAAGGTATTTTACTGGAAAAAAATTATCTTTTCAACATATGTTGCATATCTCTATGCAAAGACATTAATAATAACAATATCCATACTATTCTCACATTACAAAAACTAACTCAGATATATTATAGACCTATATATAAAACATAATCTTATAAAATTTCTAGAAAAAACTGACTTTGGGTTCGGCAAATATTTCTTAGATGCAACACTAAAAGCACAATTTATAATAAAAAGTTCATGTGCTGGACTTTATAAATATTAAAAATATCCACTTTTTAAATTCTGGGATACATGCACAGAATGTGTATGTTTGTTACATAGGTACACGTGTGCCTTGGTGGTTTACTGCACCTATCAACCCATCACCTAGGTTTTAAGCCCCACATGAATTAGCTATTCATCCTGATGATCTCCCTCTCCTCACCATCCCCCACGACAGGCCCTGATATGTGTTGTTTCCTTCCCTGTTTCCATGTGTTCTCATTGTTGAACTCCCACTTATGAGTGAAACATGTGGTGTTTGGTTTTCTGTTCCTGTGTTAATTTGCTGAAGATAATGGCTTCCAGCTTCATCCATGTCTCTGCAGAAGATATAATCTCATTCCTTTTTATGGCTGCATAGTATTCCATGCTGTATATGTACCACACTTTCTTTATCCAGTCTATAATCAATGGGCATTTGGGTTGATTCCATGTCTTTGCTATTGTGAATAGTGCTGCAATAAACATACATGTACATGTATCAGTTCTAGATACTTGAGGAATTGCCACACTGTCTTCCACAATGGTTGAACTAATTTACATTTCCACCAACAGCATAAAAGTGTTCCTATTTTTTCATAGCCTCACCAGCATCTGTTGTTTCTTGACTTTTTAATATTCACCATTCTGACTGGTGGAAGATGGTATCTCACTGTGATTTTGATTTGCATTTCTCTAATGATCAATGATATTGAGCTTTTTTTCATATGACTGTTGGCTGCATAATGCACAACTTCTTCTGAGAAGTTTCTATTCATATCCTTTGCCCACTTTTTGATGGGGTTATTTGTTCTTGTCTTGTAAATTTGTTTAAGTTCCTTGTAAATTCTGGATATTAGACCTTTGTCAGATGTGTAGATTGCAAAAATTTTCTTCTATTCTGTAGGGTGCCTGTTCACTCTGATGATAGTTTCTATTGCTATGCAGAAGTGCTTTGGTATAATTAGATCCCATTTGTCAATTTGTTGTAATTGCTTTTAGTGATTTCATCATAAAATCTTTGCCCATGCCTATGTCATGATGGTATTGCCTAGGTTTTCTTCTGGGGTTGTTATCATTTTGGGTTTTACATTTAATTCTTTAATTCATCTTGAGTTAATTTTTGTATAAGGTGTAAGGAAGGCATCCAGTTTCAATTTTCTGCATGTGACTAGACTGTTTTCACAGCACCATTTATTAAATAGGGAATCCTCTTCCCATTGCTTGTTTTTGTCAGGTTTGTTGCAGATCAGATGGTTGGAGATATGTGGTCTTTTTTCTGAAGTCTCTATTCTCTTCCATTGGTCTATATGTCTGTTTTGGTATAAGTACCATGCTGCTTTGGTTACTGTAGCCTTGTAGTAGAGTTTGAAGCCAAGTAACGTGATGCCTCCAGCTTTGTTATTTTTGCTTAGGATTGTCTTGGCTATGTGGGCTCTTTCTTTGGTTCCTTATGAATTTTAAAGTAGTTTTTTTCTAATTATGTGAAAAATATCAATGGTAGTTTGATGGGATTAACATTGAATCTATAAATTACTTTGGGCAATATGGCCATTTTCACTATATTGATTCTTGCTATCTATGAGGATGGAATGTTTTTCCATCTGTTTGGATCCTCTCTTATTTCCTTGAGCAGTGGTTTGTAGTTCTTGAAGAGGTCATTCACATCACTTGTTAGCTGTATTCCTAGGTATTTTATTATCTTTGTAACAATTGTAAATGGGAGTTCATTCATGATTTGCCTCTCTGCTTGTCCATTGTTTGTGTATAGGAATGCTTGTGATTTTTGCACATTGATTTTGTATCCTGAGATTTTGCTGAAGTTGCTTATCAGCTTAAGAAGTTTTGGGGCTGAGACGATGGAGTTTTCTAAATATACAATCATGTCATCTGCAAACAGAGACAATTGGACTTCCCCTCTTCCTATTTTAATACTCTTTATTTCTTTCTCTTGCCTGATTGCCCTGGCCAGAACTTCCAATAATATGTTGAGTAGGAGTGGTGAGAGAGAGCATCCTTGCCTTGTGCTGGTTTTCAAAGGGAATGCTTCCAGCTTTTGCCTAATCAGTATGATATTGGCTGTGGGTTTGTCATGAATAGATCTCATTGTTTTGAGATGTGTTACATCAATACCTACTTTATTGAGGGTTTTTAGCATGAAGTGGTGTTGAATTTTATCAAAGGCCTTTTCTGCATCTATTGAGATAATCATGTGGTTTTGTCATTGGTTCTATTTATGTGATGAATTACATTTATTGATTCGTGCATGTTGAACCAGCTTTGCATCCCAGGGATGAAGCCAACTTGATTAAGGTGGATAAGCTTTCGAAGTGCTGCTGGATTCAGTTTGCCAGTATTTTACTGAGGATTTTTGCATTGATCTTCATCAGATATATTGGCCTGAAGGTTTTTTTGTTGTTGTTGCTATTATGTCTCTGCCAAGTTTTGGTATTAGGATGATGCTGGCCTCATAAAATGAGTTAGGGAAGAGTAGCTCCTTTACAATTGTTTGTAATAGTTTCAGAAGGAATGATAGCAGCTCCTCTTTGTACCTCTGCTAAAACTCAGCTGTGAATCTGTCTTTCCTTAGCTTTTTTTAGTTGGTAGACTATTTATTACTGCCTCAATTTCAGAACATGTTATTGCTCTTTTCAGGGATTTGATGTCTTCCTGGTTTAGTGTTGGGAGGGTGTATTTGTTGAGGAATTTATCAATTTCTTCTAGATATTCTAGTTTATTTGCATAGAGGTGTTTATAGTATTCTCTGGTGGTAGTTTGTATTTCTGTGGGGTCAGTGGTATTATCCCCTTTATCATTTTTTGTTTCATCCATTTGATTTTGCTCCTTTCTTCTTTATTAGTCTAGCTAGCATTCTATCTATTTTATTATTTGTTTTTCAAAAACCTAGCTCTTTGATTCATTGATTTTTTTTTGAAGAGTTTTTCGTTTCTCTATCTCGTTCAGTTCTGCTCTAATCTTAGTTATTTATTGTCTTCTGCTAGCTTTTGGAGTTGTTTGCTCTTGTTTTTCTAGTTCTTTTAATTGTGATGTTAAGGTGTTGATTTGAGATCTTTCTAGCTTTCCGATGTGGGCATTTAGTGCTATAACTTCCCCTCTTAACACAGTTTTAGCTGCGTTCCAGAGATTCTAGTATGTTGTTTCATTGTTCCCATTGGTTTGAAATAACTTCTTGATTTCTGCCTTAATTTCATTATTTACCCAGGAGTCATTCAGGAGCAAGTTGTTCAATTTCCATAAAGTTGTGTGGTTTTGCATGAGTTTCTTAATCCTGAGTTCTAATTTGATTGCACTGTGGTCTGAGAGACTATTATGATTTCAGTTCTTTTGCATTTGCCGAGGAATGTTTTACTTCCAATTATGTGGTCAATTTTAGAGTAAGTACCATGTGGCACTGAGAAGAATGTATATTCTTTTGTTTGAGGGTAGAGAGTTCCGTATATATCTATTAGGTCCACTTGATCCAGAGCTGAGTTCAAGTCCTGAATATCCTTGTAAATATTGTCTTGTTGCTCTAATATTGACAGTGGTGTGCTAAAGTCTCACTATTATTGTGTGGGAGTTGAAGTCTTTTTGTAGGTCTCTATGAATTTGTTTTATGAATCTGGGTGCTTTTGTATTGGGTTCATGTATATTTAGAATAGTTAGCTCTTCCTGTTTAATTGATCCCTTTATCATTATGTAATGCCCTTCTTTGTCTTTTTTTTTTTTTATCTTTGTTGGTTTAAAGTCTGTTTTGTCAGAGACTATGATTGCAGCACCTGCTTTTTTCTGCTTTCCATTTTCTGGGTAAATTTTCCTTCATCCCTTAATTTTGAGCCTATGTCTGTCTTTGCATGTGAGATGGGTCTCTTGAATACAACACTCTGATAGGTCTAGACTCTTTATTCAATTTGCAAGTCTGTGTCTTTTAATTGGAGCATTTAGCCCATTCACATTTAAGGTTAATATTGTTATGTGTGAATTTGATTCTGTCATTATGATGCTAGCTGGTCATATTGCACACTAGTTGATACTGTTTTTTCATAGTCATTAGTTTTTATGTTTTGGTGAATTTCTCAGTGGCTGGTACTGGTTTTTCCTTTCCATATTTAGTGTTTCCTTCAGGAGCTCTTGCAAGCAGGCCTTGTGGTGATGAATTTCCTTAGCATTTGCTTGTCTGAGAAGGATTTTATTTCTCCTTCTCTTATGAAGCTTAATTTGGCCTGATATTAAATTCTGGGTTGAAAATTCTTCTCATTAAGAATGTTGACTTTGGGAGGCCGAGACGGGAGGATCACAAGGTCAGGAGATCAAGACCATCCTGGCTAACACGGTGAAACCCCGTCTCTACTAAAAATACAAAAAATTAGCCGGGCATGGTGGCGGGTGCCTGTAGTGCCAGCTACTCAGGAGGCTGAGGCAGGAGAATGGCATGAACTCGGGAGGCAGAGCTTGCAGTGAGCTGAGATCGCGCCACTGCACTCCAGCCTGGGCAAGAGTGCGAGACTCCGTCTCAAAAAAAAAAAAAAGAATGTTGAATATTGGCCCCCACTTTCTTCTGGCTTGTAGGTTTTCTGCTGAGAGATCTGCTGTTAGTCTGATGGGCTTCCCTTTGTAGGTGACCTGGCCTTTCTCTCTGGCTGCCCTTAACATTTTTTCCTTCATTTCAACCTTGGAGAACCTGATGATTATCTGTCTTGGAATTGATCTTCTCATGAACTATCTTGGTGGAATTCTCTGTATTTTCTGAATTTGAATGTTGGCCTGTCTTGCTAGGTTCAGGAATTTCTCCTAGATAATGTCCTGAAGTGTGTTTTCCAACTTGGTTCCATTTTTTCCTTCTCTTTCAGATACTGGTCTTTTTACATAGTCTCATATTACTTGGAGGTTTTGTTTGTTCCTTTTTATTTATTTTTTTTGCCTGCCTTATTTCAGCAAGATAGTCTTTCATTTCTGACATTTTTTTTCACTTGATTGATTCAGCTATTAATACTTGTGTATGCTTCACAAAGTTCTCATGCTGTGTTTTTCAGCTCCATCAGGTCATTATGTTCCTCCTTAAACTGGTTATTCTAGTTAGCAGCTTCTGTAACATTTTAACAAGTTTCTTAACTTCTTTCCATTGGGTTAGACCATGCTCCTTTACTTCAGCGAAGTTTGTTATTACCCACTTTCTAAAGCCTACTTCTGTCAGTTCATCCATCTCATTCTCCGTCCAGTTCTGCACCCTTGCTGGGAGGTGTTGCAATTATTTGGAGGAGAAGAGGCACTCTGGCCTTTTGGGTTTTCAGCATTTTGTTTGTTTTGCTGATTCTTTCTCATCTTCATGAGTTTGTCTAGTTTCAATCTTTGAAACTGTTGACCCTTGGATGAAGTTTCTGTGGGGACTTTTGTTGATGCTGTTGTTGTTGCTTTCTGTTTGTTTATTTTTCTTTCAATAGTCAGGTCCCTCTTCTGTAGGGCTGCTGTGGTTTGCCAGGGGGTTAACTTCAGGCCCCCTTTATCTGGTTCCCTCCTGCACCTGGAGATGTCACTCAAGGAGCCTGGAGAAGGGCAAACATGGATGCCTTCTCCTTATTCTGGGATCTCTGACCTCGAGGGGAACTGACCTGATGCCAGTAGGAATGCTCCTGTTTAGAGTGTCTGACAACCCTTGTTTGTTGGGGCAGTAGGGGGGGTCTCAGCCAGTTGGATGGCATGGGAAGCAGGATTCATTTAACAAAGCACTTTGGCTGTCCCTTGGTAGAGGGGGTGTGCAGCACTGGAGGGAAACTCACTCATCAGGGCTTCCCAGATTCCTCAGAGCTAGTAGGAGGAAAGACTAAGTCTCCTGGTCTGTGGAGACTAAGACCAACCATCCCCTTAGGGGCTCAGTCCCAGGGAGATCAGAGTTTTGTTCCTGAGCCCCTAGCTGGAGCTGTTGGAGTTCTTGCAGGGAGTCCCTGCAGTGGAAGTGTTGCTGCCACCCTTCCCCCAAAGAGCTCAGCTGGCTTAGAAAGCAGGCAGCTGCAGCAGTGGTGATGGCCGCCCCTTCCCCTGGAACTTGGCAGGCTTAGGCAGATTCTAGAACAAGTGGCTGTTGAGAATTTGCACACCTCTATGGTTGGGAGCCAAGCCCTGGTGGCATGGGCTCACGAGTGGGATCCTCTGATCCATGTGTTGCACAGTTCTGTGGAGAAAGCACGGTTTCCCAGGCTGGATAGCACACTCAGCTCACTCACTGCCTCCCTTGGCTGAGGGTGGGGCCCCCCTGCCCTGTGTGGCCCTTAGGTGGGAGGCTTCCTTCCACTGCTCTTCCTTCCTCTCTCTGCGTAATGCCAGAAGCCTAGTCAGTGCTAATGACAAAATCTAGATACCTTAGTTTCCAGTGCAGGATTCCATGCTGTTTGGGATCTTTTCGATGGGAGCCTCTGATCATTGCTGCTTCTAGTTGGCCACCTTGGTCCTTCCAGTTGTAAGCTCAAAATACCACTCTTTCAAAGACATGCGAAGAGGATAAAAAAGGCAGTTTTTTTTGGGGGAAATATTTATAAATTCTGTAATTAATAATGGCTTTCTATGAGGAACACAAAAATAACTCTTGAAAAACTCAATAACAACAACAACAACAACAACAAAATACTCCAATAAAATAGATGAAAGATTTAAAAACTTCACCACTGAGGAAATATAATTGACAGGTAAGTGCAATATAAAATTCTTAACATTATTAGGCATTCTGGAAATGCATTTTAAAATGAAAATGGGTTTTTTTTTTTTTAAATCTGAGTATGCTGAGTAACTGGAACACTCATATATTACTGGTAGGAATGAGGAAGTGTGCATCTAATATGGAAAACATTTTGGTCATTTTTTTAAAAATAAAGTGCAGCAAATACTCGTCATTTCTAGAAACTACACTCCTAGGTTTTTACCCAAGTGAAATAAAAAATATATTCATATATAAACCTATATGTCAATGTTTATAGTATCCTTTCCTTGTAATCAACCAAAACTGAATACAAGTAAAATGTTCTTCAACTGTATACACAAATAAACATTTGTATATCTACATAATTGAATACAATTTGGCAAAAAAAAAAATAGTGATACAAACAATAAAATGCCTGAATTTCAAATGCACGTGGCAGTAGTCAGACTCCAAAGGCTGTTGTAATAGTTAACTTTAGGCATCAACTTAACTGGGCTAAGCGATGCCCCAAGAGCTGGAAAAACATAATTTCTGAGTATGTCTGTGAGAGTGTTTCTGGAAGATGCTGGCATTTGAATCAATAGACTGAGTAAAGACAAACCACTTTTAACAATCTGTCAGGTGTCAGCCAATCTACTGAGAGCCCAAATATAGCAAAAAGGCAGAAGGAGGGCAAATTATCTCTCTTCTTGAACTGGAACATTCGTCTTCTGCTCTTAGATATTGACGCTCTTGGTTCTCAGGCCTGTGGTCTCCAGGACTTACACCAGTGGATCCCGCAGTTTTCAGGCCTTTAGAAGTATACAAAATTATATCACTGGCTTTCATGATTCTCCAGCTTGCACATGAAAAATGGTGGGACTTCTCAGTCTCCATAATTTCATGAACCAATTCCCATAATAAATCTCTCTCTCTCTGTTTCCGTCTTTCTCTCTCTATCTCTCTTCCTATCTCTACTGCTGCCTTTATCTCTCTGTCTCTCTATACATGTATAAATGGTATTACATTACTTTATTTCTTTATTATGTGATTATTAGATTTATAAATGTTGATTTATACCTATATTATCTTATGTGACTATGTAAATTTGAAGACACAGCTCTGTTTTGCATATAAAACCAAATTGCATACTATACTTTATGGGAAAATTACATAGAAACTATAAATGAAAGTATAAATTTTCCCTTGGGAAAAGCTTTTAAAGAAATCTATATTATTCTGAGAGTGCAAACATCTCCTTTACACAGACTCAAAGAAATTCAGTTGTTATAGTAAGTATGTCTTCTCCTTTGAAAATGTGCATTATAAAGACATTTTAAGAAGCACGCATTCTACAAGTTTCCCTTTGTAATTTAGCCATTAGCAATGGTATATACATACAGACAATTATTAGTCTTGTGCTTCGAAATAGCTGTTGATGATGGACTGGTTCTATAACATTTTTAAGACTCTACATGCTCTTTTTTAGGAAAATGACTTTGCACCTTTCTTTCTCATTTATTGTAAAGTGGTAATCCTATAAAGGCAAGAAAGCCAAATACCAAAATTATGCATAATTCTCTTATATTAGAAATCATCTTTCCTACATTTGCTTCTGCTTCTGAAAAAAGTTAAAAATTATGATTTTACATTGTTGTCATTTAATGTAAACAATGGTGATGCACCAGTAGATTGAAGGCTGAATTTACCTACTACTTATATTGTACATAGCGTGTTACAATGGTGCTGATACAACACAGAATAAGCACTGTAAAATGCCTTAATACTGTTCAAATACAGGTTTTATTTCTTTTATTTTAAAAAAAAGTTGCCTAGGTTTTCTTCTAGGGTTTTATGGTTTTATATTTAAGACTTTAATTCGTCTTGAGTTAATTTTTGTATGAGGTGTAAGGAAGGAGTCCAGTTTCTGTTTTCTGCATATGGCTAGCCAGTTTTCCCAGCACCATTTATTAAATAGGGAATCCTTTCCCTGTTGCTCATTTTTGTCAGGTTTGTCAAAGATCAGATGGTTGTACATGTGTGGTGTTATATCTCAGGTATCTGTTCTGTTCCATTGGTCATTGGTCCATATATCTGTTCTGGTACTAGTACCATGCTGTTTTGGTTACTGTAGCCTTGTAGTGTAGTTTGAAGTTAGGTAGCATGATGCCTCCAGCTTTGTTGTTTTTGCTTAGAATTGTCTTGGCTATACAGGCCCCTTTTTGGTTCCATGTGAAATTTAAAGTAGTTTTTTTTCTATTCAGGACGTAGGCATGGGCAAAGACTTCATGATTAAAACACCAAAAGCATTTGCAACAAAAGTCAAAATTGACAAATGGGATCTAATTTAACTAGAGAGCTTCTGCACAGCAAAAGAAACTATCATCAGAGTGAACAAGAAACCTACAGAATGGGAGAAAATTTTTGTAATCCATCCATCTGAGAAAGGGCTAATATCCAGAATCTACAAGAAACTTAAATTTACAAGAAAAAAAAACCACATCAAAAAGTGGGAAAAGAATATGAACATATGAACAGACACTTCTCAAAAGAAGACATTTATGTGGCCAACAAACATATGAAAAAAAGCTCATCATCACTGGTCATTAAAGAAATGCAAAGCAAAACCAGTAAGATACCATCTCACACCAGTTAGTATGGCAATTATTAAAAAGTCAGGAAACCACAGATGCCAGTGATGCCGTGGAGAAATAGGAACGCTTTTACACTGTTGGTGGGAGTGTAAATTATTTCAACCATTGTGGAAGACAGTGTGGCAATTCCTCAAGGATCTAGAACCAGAAATACCATTTGACCCAGCAATCCCATTATGGGGTATATACCCAAAGGATTATAAATCATTCTACTATAAAGACATATGTACATGTATTTTTATTGTGGCACTGTTCACAATAGCAATGACTTGGAACAAACCCAAATGCCCATCCATGACAGACTAAAGAAAATGCAGCACATATATACCATGGAATACTATGCAGCCATAAAAAAGAATGAGTTCATGTTCTTTGCAGGGACATGAATGAAGCTGGAAGCCATCATTCTCAGCAAACTAATACAGGAACAGAAAACAAAACACTTCATGTTCTCACTCATAACTGGGAGTTGAACAATGAGAACACATGGGTACAGGGAGGGGAACATCACACACTGGGGCCTGTCAGGGGTAGGAAGCAAGGGGAGGTAGAGCATTAGGACAAATACCTAAAGCATGCAGTGCTTAAAACCTAGATGATGGGTTGATAGGTGCAGCAAATTACCATGGCACATGTATATCTATGTAAGAAACCTGCACATTCTGCACATGTATTCCAGAACTTAAAGTAAGACATTTTTTTTTTTTTTTTTGAGATGAAGTCTCGCTCTGTCACCCAGGCTGGAGTGCAATGGCGTGATCTCCGCTCACTGCAACCCCCGCCTCCCGGGTTCAAGCGATTTTCCTGCCCAGACTCCTGAGTAGCTGCAATTACAGGCACATGCCACCACACCAGGCTAATTTTTGTATTTTTAGTAGAGACAGGATTTCACCATGTTGGTCAGGCTGGTCTCGAACTCCTGACCTCATGATCCATTTACCTCGGCCTCCCAAAGTGCTGAGATTACAGGCGTGAGCCACCGCGCCAGGCTGGCTAAAGTAAAATTGTCTTTAAACAAGTTTTATTTTAGGTTTAGGGGTACATGTGCAGGATTTTTATATTGACAAACTCATGTTGTAGGGGCTTGTGCAAATTTTGTCACCCAGGTACTAAGCATAGTGCCCAATAGTTATTTTTTCTGATTCTCCTTCTCCTTCCACCCTCCACCCTCAAGTAGGCCTAAGTATCTTTTGTTCCCCTTTTTGTTGCCATGTGTTCTCATTATTTAGCTTCTACTTACAAGTGAGAACATGCAGTATTTGGTTTTCTGTTCCTGTATTAGTTTGCTAGAATAATAGCCTCCAGTTCCACCCACGTTCCCAGAAGGGATATAATATTCTTTTTTCTGGCTGCATAGTATTCCATGGTATATATGTACCACATTTTATTTATCCAGTCTGTCATTGATGGGCATTTTCGTTGATTCCATGTCTTTGCTATTGCGAATAGTGCTACAATGAACATATGCATACATGTGTCTTTGTGGTAGAACAACTTCTATTCCTTTTATTTTACTATATTTATTTTCCTATATGTTACCCAGTAATGAACAACTTAAAAATAATAAGAGCCATCTATCATAAATCCACAGACAAAATCATACTAAACAGTCAAAAGCTGAATGTATTCCCCTTGAAAACTGGCACAAGATGAGGATGCCCTGTCCCACCACACCTGTTCATCATAGTATTGGAAGTCCCGGCCAGAGAAATAATGTAAGAGAAATAAATAAATGGCATCCAAATAGGAAGAGAGAAAGTCAAACTACCCCTGTTTGCAGAAGAAATGATTCTATATCTAGAAAACCCCATAGTCATGGCCACAAAGCTTCTTAACCTGATAAACAACTTTAGCAAAGTTTCAGAATACAAAATCAATGCACAAAAATCATTAGCATTCCTATTCACCAACAGCCAAGCTGAGAGCCAAATCAGGAATGCAATTGCATTTACAACTGCCACAAAAAAATGATACAGCTAGCCAGTTAGGTGAAAGAGCTCTATGGTGAGAATTACAAAACAATGCAGAAAGAAATCAGAGATCACACAAATAAATGAAAAGCCATTCCATGCTCATGAACAGGAAAAATCAGTATCACTAAAATGGTCATACTGCCTAAAACAATTTACAGATTCAGTGCTATTCCTATCAAACTACCAATAATATTCTTCAAAGAACTAGATAAAACTATTATAAAATTCATATGGAAACAAAAAAGAACCTGAGTAGCTAAGGCAATCCTAAGCAAAAAGAACAGAAATGAAAGCATCACGGTACCCAACTGCAAAATATACTACAGGGCGGGGCCGTGCGCAGTGGCTCACGCCTGTAATTTCAACACTTGGGGAGGGCGGATCACGAGGTCAGGAGTTCGAGACCAGCCTGACCAACATGGTGAAACCCCATCTCTACTAAAAATACAAAATTTAGCTGGGCATTGTGGCACGCGCCTGTATTCCCAGCTATTCAGGAGGCTGAGGCAGTAGAATCGCTTGAACCCGGGAGGCAGAGGTTGCAGTGAGCCGAGATCGCGCCATTGCACTCCAGCCTGGGCGACAGAGAGGAAACTCAAAAAAAAAAAAAAAAAAAAAAACAACTCAAAAAAAAAAAAAAAAAAAAAAAAGCGGCCAGCTGACGGGGACTAGGCCCGGGAGTACCTGAGGGACCGGCGGCGATGACGGCAGTGGAGGCCTAGTGGGCTCGGTGCGTGGGTCGGCGGCGGCTCGGGGTCCACCCGCGGGCTACAGTGCAAGCGGGGGGCCCGGCTCCCGTCCTCCCCCACCCGGCTCCGCCACTATGATTGGGTGGAAGATGGCGCTGGCCAGATGGAAATCCTAATGACAGTCTCCAAATTCGCCTCCATCTGTACCATGGGCGCCAATGCTTCGGCGTTAGAGAAAGAGATTGGTCCAGAACAGTTTCCGGTCAACGAGCATTATTTTGGATTAGTCAATTTTGGGAATACCTGCTACTGCAATTCAGTTCTTCAAGCACTTATTTTTGTCGTCCGTTTCGGGAAAAAGTTCTTGCATATAAGAGTCAACCTAGGAAAAAGGAGAGCTTTCTTACATGCTTAGCAGATCTCTTCCACAGCATAGCCACTCAGAAGAAAAAGGTTGGAGTAATACCTCCGAAGAAGTTCATCACAAGATTACAGAAATAAAATGAGCTTTTCGACAACTACATGCAACAAGATGCCCATGAATTCTTAAATTACCTACTAAATACAATTGGTGATATTTTACAAGAAGAGAGAAAGCAGGAAAAACAAAATGGTCGCTAACCTAATGATAATATTGATAATGAAAATAATAGCAGCACACCAGACCCAACGTGGGTTCATGAGATTTTTTGGGGAACGTTAACTAATGAAACCAGAAGTCTTACTTGCGAAACTATAAGCAGCAAAGATGAAGATTTTTTAGACCTTTCTGTTGACGTGGAACAAAATACATCAATTACTCACTGCTTAAGGGGTTTCAGCAACACAGAAACTCTATGCAGTTAATACAAGTATTACTGTGAAGAGTGTCGCAGCAAACAGGAAGCACACAAACAGATGAAAGTTTAAAAACTGCCCATGATTCTAGCTCTACACTTGAAGAGATTTAAATATATGGATCAACTTCATCGATATACAAAACTCTCTTACCGGGTGGTTTTTCCTTTAGAACTTCGTCTATTTAACACTTCAGGTGATGCCACCAATCCAGACAGAATGTACGACCTTGTTGCTGTTGTGGTTCACTGTGGAAGTGGTCCCAATCGAGGCCATTATATTGCGATAGTTAAGAGTCATGATTTTTGATTGTTGTTTGATGAGACATTGTAGAAAAATAGATACACAAGCTATTGAAGAATTCTACGGGTTGACATCAGATACTCAAAGAACTCTGAGTCTGGTTACATCCTTTTCTATCAGTCTCGGGACTGAGGGGGAACTGCGATGAAGAGATACTTTCTGCCTCATTTCTTTTCTGGTTATTTTGGAAAGGATCAAGCACTGATTTTTCAAGAAAAGAGAAATGCAGGAAGCTCAGGGGTCAGTAGCAGGCTTTGCACACGATAAAGCAAAAACGATGGATTGACAAGCCCTTCTGATCATGGTAGTTGATTTATTTGCTCAGGTATCATGCTGTCTGTACAGTTCCATACAACAAGGAGGTGAAATCCATACCAGCTTCTCTTGTAAAACAGCCTTCCAGTCATTGACAGGCATTTTCTCTTTGCTAATTGCACCAATAATGCTTTGAATTCCTTAGGGGTGCGGTAGAAAGAATCGGAATCTGGACTGTATTGGTAAGGAGATGATGTTGAACGCACTGCATAAATTTGCCTGGTTCAGTATGTATAGAAGCATATTCAGTGGTCTTTTCAAGAGTAAACCAGAAATACTTTTGGGCCCAACACTTGCAGTTGCTTTCCTGATGTAAAAACTAACATGCTAGATAATCCAGTGTCAGGAAGACAAAGATGCTTTGCTTCTCTGAAGAAGCTTATAATAATATACAGTATATGTATATGTAGGGAGCAATTGGTCAAAAGTGGCTTTTTGTTTCCACAAGGGGAAAGACTGGCTATGTAATTATAATTTTTTCCTTATTTATTTTACTTAAAGCTGGTAGAGTCTAAGTATTGTATGAAGTGCCCATGATTCTGTCAGTAAATTTGAGCATATTTTTATCAGTTAATGTCATTTTAACTGGTCCTTTTGTTTGTTTCTATTTTTAAGGTGAATTTTAAATTATATCTGAAATCAGTAAGATACCTTGAGAAAAACTGCAATGAGAGGAGGTAAATATCCTTTTCAGGAGGAACTGATATCTCTGGCTAAATATTTGTCCTTTTATTATGGCATCTAAATCAGTTATTTTCTTCAGCTTTAATTTCATAAAATTAAAAAACTATATAAAAAATTCCTGTAGTTGTTGGAATAATTAAAAATTCTGGTGCAGTGGTGGTATACCAATCTTTAGAATTCTTAAGAATTCTAATGTTTCAAGTTGAGGCCATGCTTGGGAAAATCATGTCATAGCATTTATGTTATTTTCAGATATCATTTTTTACCTTGGAAAGAAGTAATAATGTTCATCATAACCCTAACAGCCTGGATAGTGAGCTAAACAAACCCTTTGAAGATTACATTTTAATCAAGTAGACTAGGAATATAAAAAACAAGTCCTTCCTCCCCTTCCCCCCACCTTTACAAATCTTACTGGAAGGGTGTTCAGAAATTAAAATTTGTGTTTGCTAAGACTTCATTCTATTGGGGGTTTTAAGAAGTAATATATGTAATGTAAAATGTATGTAAACCACTGCAGTTTTTTTGGACATTTTTCCATGTATCAGTAAGTTGTCTGACAGTAGCCAAATGTAACTTGCAGAAAGTTATTGAAAGTTATATTGAGAATAATAGCAATCAGGCCTTGGATGTTCTTTATTAAACTCTTTTCAAGCAGTAAATTTTAAAAAAAAATCTGCCATTTTCTAAAGTTCTTTTGCTAAGACTGTTGACTACGGAAAACAAACAACAAAATGGAATGTTTTTAGTCTGCTGCTATTATTAACATTTGTTATCTGTACCTTTTGGCTCAGGAAATTACTTCACCTATTTGTTCCATAAGCAGACTTTTAACAGGGTCATTTAGGTAACTGGGCTGCTTAAACAGATGTGCTGGGAGAAAATTATAATATTTAGTATTTGTACTAAATATCAAAAGTATTTTGGCAAGTTTCTTTTTAAAATAGTTTCTAAAGCCTTACCCTGGCTAGAGATGTTTTGTACAAATGATATACAGCCTGCCTGATCTACCAACATGCCAGAGAATCACAATCAACAATGTGGGGAAAGTTAGGGCAGTGGAAGTGGATGCACACTTTTTATTTTGAGGGCTTAAACCAAATTGTTTTGGACTTAAAGCTGTATTTCTGCAACTTTCAGTACAGAGAAAAAGGGGAAAGTGAAGCTGTGTCAGTTTTAACATTAGCTATATCACAACATGTTTAAGAAAGATAGATGAAGTCATTTGCATAAAGGTACAGCATTGAAATACTATGTTGTGTTTGTTTTTACATTTTTGCCAAAAAAAATACAGTAAAAGCCAAGTTAAATTTCATATTAAAGCAAGTTCTAGTATATGTATTGAGTTCCTGGTAGTCACATACTTTGTTCACATCTGCACCATACTTCGTAGTATGATTTGTCAGGGGAGGGACTGTGGGGTGACAGTTTCACATTTACTTTTTCTTCTTAATGCAGCTGGATCTAAGTAAAATGTTTTGAAGTTTATCAGAAACTCAGTATACTTTTAAAATATATAGGGTCAGGGTTGGGGGAAAAATACAGGTATAGTAAGAAAAGTGACCCATGAAGAAAGCATTGTGAGGTTGTATGTTGGTTGACTGTGATTAAAATGCGAGGCTGGTGTAAGTTGTAAATGGTGGCTGATTGCCATGTAACTATGTACATGATTGTTGGGATGGCTGTCCCATATTTTGTATATTGGAATAAATATTTCTATAAATTATTGTAACTAAAAGTAAATATTCTAAATTAAATCCCACTTCTTAAGTCTCATGGCTTCTGTCTTGGAAACTTTACCTTTAAAAGATTATTTAAGACAGGAACCAGGAGGTTTGGGCACAGGGAAAGAAGGAAATGCTGTATTATGTGGGTCTTGTGGCCTCTAACCATCAGTATAGGGTTTTTTCTTTCCTTGATGGCAGTAGAAAGACCTCATTTTCATAACATAACTACTCTTCATACTTTCTTAAAAACACTTTTTATTAAAGATTCCATCATGAAGTATTTGGCTGGGAGCTGGGAGGCTAAAGCACTCATGTCCTGGCTCTTCAGTGAATTTAACTGTGTGACCTTGGGCAAGTCACTTAACCTCTCTGTACTTCAGTCTCCGTATCTTGTAAAATGAGAGTAATACTTACCTCACAGTGTTGTTGTGGGGATTAATTAGAGATAACGTCTGTAAAGCACTTAAGGTTCTTGAAGAAGGCTCTATATAAATACAAAATAATATCTACTAAAGTTGGTTTATTTGTGTAAAAAGAAATATATATATACACAGGTATACATACATACACTACAGGGCTACAGTAACCAAAACAGTGTGGCACTGGTATAAAAACAGACACATAGACTAATGGAACAGAATATAGAGCCCAGAAATAAGGCTGCCCACCTAAAATTATCTGATTTTTGACAAAGTGACAAAAACAAGCAATGGAGAAAAGACTCCCTCCTATTCAATAAATGGTGTTGGGATAACTGGCTAGCCACATGGAGAAGGTTTAAACTGCACCCATTTTTTACTTCACATACAAAAATCAACTCAAGGCAGAATAAAGATTTAAATGTGAAAACCAACACTATAAAAACCCTGGAGGACAACCTAGAAAAATACCATCCTGGACCTAGAAACTGGCAAAGATTTCATGACAAAGATCCCAAAAGCAATGATAGTAAAAGCAAAAATTTACAAATAGGATGTATTTAAATGTAAGAGCTTCACCATAGCCAAAGAAACTATCAACAGAGTACACAGACAACCTATGGAACAGGAGAAAATATTTGCAAACTATGCATTTGACAAAGGTCTAATATATAGTATCTGTAAGGACCTTAAACAAGTTTACAAGCAAAACACCAAGAGCCACATTAAAAAGGAGGCAAAGGACATGAGCACACTTTTCAAAAGAAGACATACATGTGGCCAACAAGCATGTGAAAAAAAAATTCAATTATCACTGAGCATTAGAGAAATGCAAATCAAAGCCACAGTGAGATATCATCTCATACCTGTCAGAGTGGCTATTACTAGAAGTTGCAAAGTAGCAGATGTTGGCGAGGTTGTGCAGAAAAGGGAATCTTTATACGCTGTTGGTGGGAGTGTAAGTTAGTTCAACCATCATGGAAAGCAGTGTGGCAATTTCTCAAAGAGCTAAATAAAGGTTTCAATAGGCATTTGTAGTAAGATATTTCATGTTCTGTTTAAGTCTTTCACAGTTCATATTCTTGGTAAGACCTCATTAGTAAAATCTCCAGAAATTCCACTACGTGTAGTCTCCCTAAACATAAGGCTGAGTCATTAAGACAGTAGCACAACCTAGAACTCTTCAGTCCCTGCTTTTCTGGAAGCCAATTTAAGTAGTTATATATTTCAATCAGAGAGTGAAACATGCATTAGCCTTAAGATTTTATTCAGAATTTTATAGATAAGTGTCTCGTTTCAATTATAATCCATTGAGATGGCTGAATATCTCACTAATGGAACAATGTTTCCTCTCAAAATTTATATTTGAATGTTTTAATACAAATGAAAATATTCTTATTTTTCTGTAGTACTTTGTTATCCTAAAATTTGAAAAATGTCAAAATCAAATATAAATATGATTGAAAATCAGTTTGTAAGTCTGTTCTTATCATTTTTTGTAAGAATTTATTTTACCTAAGCTAGCTTTGCTTCACATTATATTTTGTGGAATTTTAATAAATGGTTTTGAATAGCAATCAACACAGAAGTTTTTCTAATATTTTTATTTGGTCCATAAAACATTAAACAAATGACAGTTTCTCTTGTTTCAAATGAATGTGTCAGTGCTGAAAAAATTTTGATGTGCTACTCACATGAGCTCACTTATAGAATTTGAGAGAAAAATAACACAATTCAAATGTTATTTTATTTTGAAAACAACCCATTTATGAGGACATATTTACTGGCTATTTGTCCATAAACACTTTTTTTCAAAAGGAGGTATGTGTTTGTTTATTTGTATGTGTATGTATGTGTGCACGCACACTCATGTACACCTATACATTTATTAATATGGAAAACAGCTAAAACTTTAAAGAAAGGTTTCTGGTCTTTGTTTTTATTTCATTCATGACATTTCAAAGAAAACTCTACTAATTGGCTGCCATTGGGTCAGATTCCCACAGCTGGCTTAATTTTAAAATAGAGGATCTACCACAGCATATACAGCAATAATTTCATAATTTTTAATTGAATCAAGATTTTTAAATTTTATAATGAAGTATATGTAAGGTATCTGAGAACATATTTACCCAGATAATTTATTTTTTCTTTATATTTATAATTGTAAATATAATTCTACAGTGCAAATTATTAGGTAATTTAAAAAGCTCCTTACTAGAAGAAGGTTATCATAAAGGGGAAAAAAATCATACTTCAATTAGAAATTTAAAAGTTTTCCTTATAATTTCTAAATGTTAGTGCATCTTAAAGTAGAAATGATTTAATTTTTAATTAAATAAAAATAATTTTCTCATAAAAGTACATATATATATCTTTACTTCAGAAGACTATAAAATTTAAATATTATATCAATTAATTTGTATAATAAAATTAATCACTGTGTGTGTGTGTGTGTGTGTGTGTGGTTCAGTTGAGTCATAAGTCATTCTCAAATTTGTAAGTTAGGCAATATTACAAAATGTAGTTATCATTTAATGTTTCCCATTCAATGCGGCAAGTTATATTTTATATTTTATTACTGAAATGATCCTCACGACAGTGCTATAAAGGTGGTACTTTCAATATGTCTACTTTACAGATGAAACAGCTGAGTTAGAGAGATTATGTGCTTTATTCAAGGTTATATTTTTAGCATGAGGCAGGGCTATAATTTGAACCCAAAATGTCTGACACGAGAGTTTACCCCCCTAAATTCTGAAGAAAATTTCTCGAATAAAGAAAGCACCCAAGGTGAAAATCAATACATATTAAAACATATATGATTTGTCTGTGAGAATATCATGGGCAATTTCTCATAATTCTGAAGGTTTAAAAGCATGCATAACAAATGAATCAGTTCATAATTTCAAATGACATATTATAAAACTCAGTTTAAAAAGTAATTAAAGTATCTATTATCAAACATAAAGTACAATAATACTAAGCAATATCCCATAATGATGGGCCATATGGTGAGATATTATGAAAAGCTATAACATTGGGCTGGGCACAGTGGCTCACACCTGTAATTCCAGCACTTTGGGAGGTGAAGGTGGGCAGATCACTTGAGGTCAAGAATTCGAGACCAGCTTGGCCAACATGGTGAAATCCGTCTCTACTAAAAATAGAAAAATTACCCAGGCATGGTGGTGCATGCCTGTAATCCCAGCTACTGCAGAGGCTGAGGTGAGAGAATTAATTGAACCTATGAGGCAGAGGTTGCAGTGAGCCGAGATCGCGCCACAGAACTCCAGCCTGGGTGACAAAGTGAGAGTCCATCTTAAAAAAAAAAAAAAAAGAAAAAAAGTTATAACCCCTATTAATTATCTTCAACACTTAAAATATATCTTTTGTGATTCCTCTAACAGCTCAAACATCACATAAAACAATGCAGAGGGTCAAAGCATTGTCATGTTCAGTTATTTCAGCAGCTAGTCACATATGACAGTAGGAATCTATTCTTTGAATAAATACGTTGAGACAGTTGTGTAGAATCCACTCACATGATACCCAACATATAACTGAAAATTACAATTGAAACTGATGGTTTAAACCATTAATTGCACCATCCACTGAATTTTGTATATTTGTTATTTATGCTTGATAACTTGAATTGACTAATTGGTTCATAGATTGCCCGCTACTAATTCACCACCTCCAAAACACGAACATCCCTTTGAGTACTTCTGTACTTGATCACACAAACAGAAAGGAGAAAGCACAGGTTTTGATTCTATCCACTGTGCTAAGAGCAGTATTCATTATTCACTTAATGCTATAGTCTGAATGTTTCCTCCAAAATCCATGTTGAAATTTAATGGCTGTTGTGATTATATTAAGAGGTGAGAATAGTAAGAATGGGTTGCTGCCATATGCCATGGGGATGAGTTAATTATCCCGGGAGTAGGTTCCTGATCAAAAGCATGAGTTATACCCTCTTTCTTTCTGTCTGATGTACTCACCTGCCCTTCTGTCTTCTGCCATGTTTTGCTGCATCACAAAGACCTTCATTAGAAGCCAGCTCTTAGCCTTCTCAGCCTTCAAAACCCTGAGGCATATAAACTTCAATTTTTTAAATTAATTACCCAGTCTCTGGTACTCTGTATGGCAATGCAAAATAAACTAGGACATTTAACTTTGTTATTAGCTCTTCACTATAATTTTATTTGAACCTTTTTTGTATCAAGTGAGTAAAAACAGCATGATATGTACTCAAAAAGTAGAAAGTAAATGAATATTTTAAAATAAATTATGCATTCAATCTCAAGCTGCTTTATCTGAATTACTGAAATTAGTTTTCCTCTCACAGCAAGTTTTTATTAAAAATGTCTAAAACATTCAGAGGCAAAAATATATAACAAAAATTTACCTTCTGATACGGTTTGGATCTGTGTTCCTGTCCAAATCTTGTGTTGAATTGTAATATTGGAGGTAGGGCCTGGTGGGAGGTAACTGGATCACCGGGGTGGTTTCTCATGGTTTAACACCATTCTCCTTGGAGCTTTGAGTTCTCACAAAATATGGTTGTTTAAAGCTCTGTAACACCTCCCCTCTCCCTCTCTTGGTCCTATTACTGCATTGTAAGGCGCCTCCTCCCACTTTGCCTTCTACCTTGAGTAAAAGTTCCCTGAGGCCTCTCCAGAAGCAGATGATGCCATGCTTCCTGTACAGCCTATGGAACCATAAGCCAATTAAATCTCTTTTCTTATAAATGACCCAGTCTCAGGTATTTATAGCAGTGCAAGAATGGAGTAATACACCTTCCTTATGCTAAAGAAATGCTTCGCTGTGTAAAGGGTTCTATATACACACACAAACGTATACAGAAACAGAGACAAACTGGAGTCAGTTCTTAAAAGTTTCTAGGAATCTGATACCAAACATAAATTTTACTAACAAAGAAGAAAGAAAAGAAAAGGAAACATATAGTGTGTTGATTTATTCTAACCCAGCTACTTATATATGCCAGGTACTAGTACTCTTCATTTGAAAATATAGATATTACTTTTAATGTTATTTGCAAAAAATAATAAATTAAAATAAATATATGTTTATATTACACCAGATTATATCATATGAGCATTAGGGTATATTACTTCTCTCCCATGACTTTTGTTTTCACAAAGGCAAAAGATTGACAGATCAGCCATGCTACTAGTTTAGTAAATTTAGGTAAATGAATTAACTGTCCTATATTATAGTAAAAATACAGGAAAAAATAAAGTGTTTGGTGGATAGAATAATCTTTTACGAACAGCTAGAATGGTAGTTCTACTAGAATATTATCCGTACTCTTTAGCAGACAAAAATTTTTTACACATCATTGTAGGAAACAGGGCAATTTGAAATTAACTGGTGCTAAAATCTTTTCATTACTCTACAGAAGTGTTTGTCAAAGTAAGAGCCTGGATTCACATTCATCAGAGTATGCTCTAAGCACTTCCTGTATCACTTAGGATGTAGCAAGTCACAAAAGATTATTGTTGTCTAACTTCAATAATAAGCCAGGTAAGTTACAAAGGCATAGTTTTTCTTTTTAAAAAAGTTTTAAATCTGAGGATAAAAAGAAAACTAAATCAGCTAAAATGCAGAACATGAGAAGCCCTTCATAGGAGAGAAGAGGCTCATGTTTACTTTGTTCCTTTATAGAGTGCTGTGAGGAGAGGAATCTACTATAGATAATTGTTAATAGCAACCACTCAAATATTGAACAGACCTTTGATAACATGTATAAGCCGGTTTATTGAATTGGGATCTGCAAACACCCCAGCAATTAAAAAAGTATGTACAGTGCTTTCAACACTTTCCCATGGGCCCTCAAAGAATCTTAAGGGATAATATGCTAAAAGTTGCAGACAGAAGAAAACTGAGAGATAGAGCCTCCAGAGATATAACTACCCTACTTCAGTCCACAAACAAAAATTAATTCAAGACAAATTATAGAACAAAATATTAAATCTAGATTCATAAAACTTCCAGGAGAAAATATTGAAAAAATCTGCACATTGTGTTACTCGAAGACCTTCTAGTCAGCTCACAAGTAGTAACCATAAGGACAAAAAATTATAAATGAGACAGTCAAACTTTTAGTTATGCTAATCAAAAGACAGCATAAAAAGGATAAATATGTAAGCCTCTATCTGTGAAAACTATTTGCAATATATATGTATATATCTAAGATCCTTAACCAAGCTTATGTCCACTTGAAGACAAGTATAAGAATGTACATAACACTTCAATTCATAATAGCTAAAAATTGCCAGGCGCTGTGGCTCACGCCTGTAATCCCAGCACTCTGGGAGGCCAAGGTGGACAGATCATGAGGTCAGGAGATCAATACTATCCTGGCCAACATGATGAAACCCAGGCTCTACTAAAAATACAAAAACTAGCTGGGTGTGGTATACCACACCTGTAATCCCAGCTACTCAGGAAGCTGAGGCAGGAGAATGGCTTGAACCCGGGAGGCGGTGATTGCAGTGAGCCGAGATCACGCCACTGCACTCCAGCCTGGCGACAGAGCAAGACTCCATCTCAAAAAAAAAAAAAAAAAAAAAAAAATCTAAAATTGGAAATAATACAAATGCCCATTAACACATGAATGGATTAAACTTTGTGATACATTTATACAATGAAATCTTAACAATAAAAAGAAAACAAATTCTCATATGTAAAAAAATAGAGAATCTAAAACCATTAAATTGAATACAAGAAGCCAAACACAAATAAGTACATACTATACAAGTCCATTTATATGAATAGACAAAACTACATTATGTTAATAGAAATCAACAGTCATTACCTATGGGTTTCACTGTCTCCCTAGGTGAGGAAACTTTCAGGCGTGTTGTAAATGTTCTATGTCTAATTTTGGTTGGTAGTTAGATGTGTGTATGTTATTGTCAAAGCACATCAAACAGCACTCAAGATTTTTTATTTTCTTGTATGTTAATTTTATCTCAGTAAAAATGCTACAAGAATTTTAACCATTTTTTTCTAGTTACAGTGCTGATTCATAGATCCTACAACAGACCTATTGAAACTGGAATTCCAGGTTTGAGGCCCTAGAATGTGCAATATTAACCAGCATACTGGGCAACTCTAATACACATTAAAATCTTAAACCCTTATCTGTAATATTCAACTTTATGTATTTTTACTACTGTATTTGCAAATTTTATTACTTCACTGTGGGCACGTAACTGATTTATAAACCTTTAAATAATGGTGTATGCTTAGAGAATCTTTTTATCTCTTATTGATTCTAACATTTTTCTTGTCCTCTGGATTTAAAAAATTTTATTATGGTATACCTTGGTGAGATGTGCTTCATGCTTTTTGTGCTAGTTAGGATTCACTGAGCTGTGGGTTTATAATTTTCAAGTTTGGAAAATTTCTAGCCATTATATCTCTAAATATATTTCTGTTTGTTCCATGTCATCTATTCCGATGACTTGAGCTGCACATATATTAGGCAATTTGAAGTTGTCTTGCTGTTCATTGACACTCTGCTAATTTTATTAGTGTTTCATGTTTTCTGTGATTTATTTTACATAGCTTTCTTATTGCTTTCTTCAAGTGTACAAATTCTTTCTATGTGGAAAATCTAGTCTGCCATTTATCCCATCCAGCGAATTTTATCTCAGGCATTCATTCTTACCTTCATCTCTGGACGTTAGATCTGAATCATTTTATACAACTCCCAATTCTCTACCTAATATGCTTTAATGTTTTGTCTGGCTTCTTAAACATAATAAAAACTGTTATAATAATTATTGTTATGTCATGTTTATTAATCAATGTACTTCTGTATCTGTTTTGACTAATTGATTTTCCCTCAATATTAATTTGTATTTTTCTGTTACTTTGCATGCTTGGTAAATTTGAATTGCTTATAATACATTGTGAATTTTAAATTGTGGATGCTAAATATTTTGTTAACCT
Organism: Homo sapiens; assembly: GCF_000001405.40. Classification (NCBI taxonomy): domain Eukaryota; kingdom Metazoa; phylum Chordata; class Mammalia; order Primates; family Hominidae; genus Homo; species Homo sapiens. The sequence goes on from NC_000024.10 coordinate 3,694,868, forward strand.
ATAAATTTTTGGATATTTGTTATTGGTCATGTTTTCATTACTTAGAAATAGTTTGATATTGGCCGGGCGCGGTGGCTCACGCCTGTAATCCCAGCACTTTGGGAGGCCAAGGCGGGCGGATCACGAGGTCAGGAGATGGAGACCATCCTGGCTAACACGGTGAAACCCCGTCTCTACTAAAAAAATAAAAAAAATTAGCCGGGCGTGGTGGCAGGCACCTGCTGTGCCAGCCACGCGGGAGGCTGAGGCAGGAGAATGGCATGAACCCAGGAGGCGGAGCTTGCAGTGAGCAGAGATGCACCACTGCACTCCAGCCTGGGCCACAGAGCAAGACTCCGTCTCAAAACAACAACAACAACAACAACAAAAACAAACAAACAAAAACCCCAGAAATAGTTTGTTTGATATTTTCGGTTTTGCTGTTAAGCTTTGTTAGAAGATACTGAAACATAGTTTATTCTAGAAGTAAATTTTTCAACTACTTATGCAAAATTCTACTTAGTACTTTAATGATGCCCCATCAATTATACAGTTCACTGCTTTGATTGTTGGAAACAGGCACTCTTCTTAGCTCAGTGTGAGGTCTTGGTATTGTTCCCTCTAACTCCTTTGGGTAATTCTCTCCCTAAACTGGTAATTTCCTCACATACTTGTGCTGATCAGTACTCAGTTGAATATTAGAGATTTCTGAAGTTCTGTTTGCACAAATACTTTGTAATATAAATGCTTGCTGCTTTTTCATCCCTAGAGTGGCAGCTCCTTCTGAATACAAGGAAATTGCAGGGTTTAACCGGAGTTAATACTCTCAATCAGTCATACAGCCCAGAAATCTACATCTTGGACTGCAATGATTCATGTATTTGACTTTTTGATATTTGTCTATTAGTCCCTGATGTTCTGTTCCTTTTTTGGTTTTGTTTTCTATCTTCCAGATTGATTAATCACTAATGATTTATCTTCAAATTCATCCACTCTCTCTATCATCTCTATTCTGCTACTGAGCACATCCTGTACATTTTTTAAATTTCAGAAAAGTATTTTCAGTTCTAAATTTTTCAGTTGTTTCATAGCATATACGTGTGTATGTATAAACACATACATATGTATATTTGTCAGATTCACTTTCCGTCACTCTCAAGTGTGTTTACTTTTCACCTTATAGAGAATGGTTATAAATTAGCTGATTTAAAGTATTTTTCTGATAATTCCATTATTTAAAAATCTCTTTCTTTAATGAAAAAAATGCACATTCCTTGTTACTCCTTGCATTTTTCTTTTGGCTGTTTCTAAAAGGACATAGAATCTAATATAATGCAGAATTTAAGCCAAATATATCTGAAAGAAATGGGCATGAAGAGGGTTTTTTTTAATTTTTTTAATTTCCACTTTTAGATTCTGGGGGAGCATGTGCAGGTCTGTTACATGGGTATGTTGCATGATGTTGAGGTTAGGGGTGTGAATTGTCCTGTCACCCAGATAGTGAGCCTAGTACCCAATAGGTAGTTTTTCCCCCTTTGCCCTTTGCTCTTCCTTCCCACTCTAGTATTCTTGTCTATTGTTTCCATCTCTTTGCCTACCTATACCCAACGTTTAGCTCCCACTTGTAAGTGAGAACATGCAGTATTTGATTTTCTTTTTCTGTATGATTTGCTTAGGATCATGGCCTCCAGCTGCATCCATGTTTCTGCAAAGAACATGATTTCATTCTCTTTTATGGCTCCATAGTATTCCATGGTGATTACATACCATATTTTCTTTATCCAGTCCACCATTAATAGGCACCTTAGTTGATTCCATGTCTTTGTTATTGTGAATAGTGCTGCAGTGAACATGTAAGTACATGTTTCTTTTTGGTAGAATAATTTATTTACCTTTGGGTATATACCCAGTAATAGGATTACTGGGTTGAATGGTAGTTCTATTTTAATTCTTTGAGAAATCTCCAAACTGCTTTCCATAGTAACTGAACTAATTTACATATCCACAGTGTTTAAGTGTTCCCTTTTCTCCACAGCCTCTCCAGCATCTGCTGTTTTTTGACTTTTCAGTAATAGCAGTTCTGACTGGTGTGAGATTGTACCTCATTGTGGTTTAAATTTGCATTTTTTTGATGTTTAGTGATGTTGAACCTTTTTTTATGTTTGTTGGCCACTTGTATGTTATTTGGATATCTTGTAGATATCATCCTTTGAGAGTATTCTCCTGTGAAAATGTGTCACATTTCTTTCCATGTGAAATTAATTTTAGATTATACCCTGAACATTTAAATATCATGATGTGTAGATTCCGGGTCCTGTTGTACTCCTCTGGAGGGAGAAAGTTGCTTTAATTTTTAGCAGGCAATTCAAATATTTAGGCATAAACTACAAATTCTGTCTCATCTTCCAAGGGTGGTGGTACCAATCTCAGTTTAATTTTTGAAGTCTCTACTATGCGAGTTTTGTCATTCCTGTGCATGCATGATGCAAGAGTGACCTCTAGACTTATTGAATTAGTGGTATCCATTTTTCAGATTTTTACTTCCTACATTTTCTCCCACATTCTTCAGTTTATATGGAACTATTTTCCAATAATTCCAAGTTCTTCAGTACAGAAAGGTGAGAATTCTATTAGCAATTTAGCCATTTATGTTTCTTCTCTGTTTTATGGTTCTGTAATTGGGTTACCCCCGGGATAAACGTGAAAGAGAAAAGAACAAAATGATAATATCATCCCCCATGCAGGACACATCTTCAAGATTTGACTCTGATCTAAAACATTACCTTTATATACCTTTAAGAGTCCTCACATAGATTCTTTTTGTATTGTGTTAAGAACTGTCTGTTGTACTGAGCAGAAGAGATTTGCTGTGGTAGCCTTATACTGCCATAGTGATACTAGAACCCAAAGCTATGCCATTTTAACACCTCAGCCCACTACTTTGACTCAGGAATGAAACTTCAGAAACCAACTCCAGAAAAAACTCTATGTAAATGCATAATTTTTCGTATGTTGATAAATGTACTTCAAAAAATTCATATGATATTTCTTTATCAGTTAACCTCTATTACATTTCTTTAGCTTTACCATGAAATCATTTTATGAAAGGCAGGGAATAGATTTATACAAGTTAATAACATTATTCAAGTACATAAATGCAAATGCATGATTAATTCTCAAATTTATCATAAGTGTTATAAATTCTATAACTTTATGCTCTGGGTGTTGGCTACTAGCTAACTTTCTTTTGTGTTATATTTGAGCAGAGCTCACTGTTAATATATTCAGGCTTTTAAAAAGAAGTTATGTATTTTTCTGTATTGGAGATACAATTAAGATTCTTCAAAGTAACAGGCAATATTTTGATAAATCCTAGTATACTAAGTTACCAATGTTGACAAAATATCACTCTATAATTTTCTAGAAAGATATGCCATTCATTTGTCCAGTTAATCCAAAATTTCATTCTTGCTAGTTTAAGTATGATAATAATTTTGACAAGTGGTGTCCACAAATACTATATTATTACTTATAGCAGTGAATAAGTTATTCACATATTAACTCATAGGAAAATTTCTATAGTTGATTTTATATCTAAATATGACACAATGTAAAAAGGTTCTTTCCTTATCTGAAGTCATCATTTTATTTTTATTTTTGAGAGAATATTGAGATAACCTTTAAGATATGAATATACATTTTCTATGCATTAACTTTTTAAAAGTTTTGTTAAATATTATTCATAATATTTATGTATTTTAAATTTTAAATATATTTGTAATCTACTTGTAAATGACTTTTACAGCACGACTATTTCCATGGACTATTTTTACACTTCGAAGATTCAAATACGGTGTTGAATTAATAGTTTATACTGTATTGATCAATGATTGCTTACCTGTTATTCATCAGTCTATGCATTGAATAAATATTTGTTGACCACCAATATATGTCAGCACGTGTATACTGTGTTAAGACACAGAGAATTATCACAGTTTTGGCAGTAAGTGGAATGACTTATATAAGCAGTTCAAAGTTTACCTTCTTTACAATAAATTACTTTATCTCCCAGGGCAATCTTACCATCAGCAGCCCAAATTTGTATACTTAATATGTGACTTATATTTTGATGACCTAACATACAATAGACAGGGGTCTGTAGGTTTATTCAGAATAATAATTTTTTAAATAATAAAAATAAAAATAATAAAAATCCATTAATGAAATCTTTTCATATTTATATTGATTGCATTATTTTAAAGTTAAAGTGAAGAGAAAGTAAATAAGAGGACATAAATTTTTATTGAGACCATTCACTGTGCCAGTTACTGGGCTATACTGTTTACAAATGATTGAATCTTACAAAACATCCTCAGGACAGAATTTAACTGAATTTTCAGAATTTTACAAAACACCCTCAGAATAGAAATTGTTTACCAATTTTAGAAGTAGAAAATTGTCAGGAGACTATTCTCCATGGGTATGTCATGGTACTGTTGATATGACTTGGATCTGTGTCCTGACTCAAATCTCATCAAATTGTAATCCCCATGTGTTGAGGGAGGAACCTCGTGGGAGGTGATTGGATCAAGGGGGCATTTTCCCCCATGCTGTTCTTGTGATAGTGAGTTCTTGTGAGATCCGATGGTCTAAAAGTGTTTGGAAGTTCCCCCTCTTGCACTCCCTCTCTCTCTCTCTCTCTCTCCTGCTGCCATGTAAGGTATGCCTTGCTTCCCCTTTGCTTTCCACCATAATTGTGAGATTCCTGAGGCCTCCACAGCCATGTGGAACTGTGATTCAATTAAACCTCTTTCCTTTATAAACTACCCAGTCTCAGGTAGTTCTTTATAGCAGTGTGAAAACAGACTAATACAGAAAGTTGGTACTGAGGGAAGTGGGGCATTGATATAAAGTTACCTGAAAATGTGAAACAGACTTTTTAACTGGGTAACAGGCAGAGGCTGGGGCAGTTTGCATGGCTCAGAAGAAAACAGGAAGATTTGGGAAAGTTTAGAACTTCCTAGACTCTAGCTGAATGGTTTTGACTAACATGCGATAGTGGTATGGACAATTAAGTCCAGGCTGAGATTATCTCAGATGGAGATGAGGAATTTACTGGGAACTGGAGTAAATGTCTCTCATGCTGTGCTTTAGCAAAGAGACTAGCGGCATCTTGTCTCTGCCCTAGAGATCTGTGGAACTTTGAATTTGAGAGAGATGATTTAGGGTATCTGGCAGAAGAAACTTCTAAGCAGCAAGGCATTCAAGACGTGACCTGGCTTTTTATAAACGCGTACAGTCATATGCACTCACAATGAGATGGTCTGAAATTGGAACTTATCTTTAAAAGGGAAGCAAAGCATAACATTTTGGAAAATTTGCAGCCTGTCCATGTGGTATAAAAGGAAAAGCCATTTTCTGGGGAGAAATTCAAGACACCAATGCAGAAATTAGCATAAGAAAAGAGGAGTCTAATGTTAATAGCCAAGACAATGGGAAAAATGTCTCCAGGGCATTTTAGAGGTCTTCATTGCAGCCCCCACCACCCTCCCCACCCCATGACAGGCCCAGAAACCTAGGAGGGAAAAAATGGTTTCTTGGGCTGCATTCAGGACCACACTGCTCTGTGTAGTCTTGGGAAATGGTGCCCTGCATCCCAGTAGCTTCAGCTCCAGCTGTGGCTAAAAGGGGCCAAGGTACAGTTTGGACCATTACTTCAGAGAGTACAATCCCTGAACCTTGGTGGCTTACACATGGTGTTAAACCTGTGGGTACAAAGAAGACTAGAATTGAGGTTTGGGAACCTCCACCTAGATTTCAGAGAAATCTAGGGCCATCATCCTCCAGACCCCAGAATGGTAGATCTACCAATAACTTGCTCTATGCACCTTGAAAAGCTGCAGGTACTCAACACCAGCCTGTGAAAGGAGCCTCAGGGGCTGCACCCTATGGAGCTACAGGGGTGGAGCTGTCCAAGGCTATGGGAGCACACCCCTTGCATCCTTGTGCCTTTGATGTGAGACATGAAATCAAAAGAGATTATTTTGGAGCTTTAAGATTTAAAGACTGTCCTGCAGGATTTCAGACTTACATGGAGCCTGTAGCCCCTTTGTTTTAGCCAATTTCTCCCTTTTGGAATGGGAGCATTTACACAATGCCTGTACCCCACATTGTGTCTTGGAAGTAACCAACTTATTTTTATTTTACAGACTCATAGGCAGAAGGAACTTGTCTTGTTTCAGATGAGACTTTGGACTTGGACTTTTGAGTTAATGCTGGAATGAGTTAAGACTTTGAGGTATTGTTGGAAAGACATGATTGTGTTTTGAAATATGAGAGGGACATGAGATTTGGGAGGGGCCAGGGTGGAATGATATGGTTTGGCTCTGTATCCTCACCCAAATCTCATCTCAAATTGTAATTTTCATGTGTTGGGGAGGGATCTTGTGGGAGGTGATTGGATTATGGGCGAGGTCTCCCTCATGCTGCTCTTGTGATAGTGAATGAGTTCTCACAAGATCTGATGCTTTTAAAGTTATTTGGCAGTCCACCTCAGTTTCTCTGTCTCCTGGCGACACACAATGTACCTTGCTTCCTCTTCACCTTCTGCCATGATTGTGAGTTTCATGAGGTCTCTCCAGCCATGGGGAACTGTGAGTCAATTAAACTTCTTTTCCTTATAAACTACCCAGTCTCAGGTAGTTATTTATAGCAGTGTGAAAGCAGACTAATACAACTGCACATCCTGTGAGAAACGCACCATCTGTCCTTTGCTCCAAAATATTTTTTCAAGGATTTTTGTATAGAAAAAAACTTTGAAATGTAGATATAATACATTCCTACGGAAAACAGTGACGAAATTATTTTTGTCCAGTTTAATTAAAAAATAAAAATGTTTTCCTTTAGTGCAAAGTCAGGCATGTTTACTCACTGTCATAAAAGATTTGGGAAGTTCAGTGTGTCTCAGCTGTAATTCCAAACCATTGCATGCATAGCATGCATCTGATCCATATCACATTAAATCAATGGACCTTGCAGGCAAAGGAAACTGACACTCATATTTATGCTGCTTGCTGTGCTATGAATAATAAGAGCCTTTGTATCTGATCCTGGAGTTTTGTGACTTCTGTCCACCACTATGAAACTGTGGTAGGCTAAATTGTTAGCTTGCAAGAAGAGTAAAATATCTGACCCTCATAATTCTTGAAGAAAGTTTGGAAATTTGGAGTGTAAGTAACTTGTCATGTCTGAATACAAGGTACACATTCTGTACAAGTACAAAATACTGCCATGTATCATAAATTACATAAACATTATTTTTTATATAGTCTTGTATTACAGTTTTTTTCAGTAACAGAAGATGAGGATTACACTTGATTCATTTATTTACATTCTGAAACTTTAGTGAAATAACTTGTGGACAGGGTTTTAATATATGTCTTTCAAACATAATTGGATTTTATTAGTGTGTAAAAAAACTGTTACATTTTTTCAGTGCAATAAAAAGAATTATACCATAACCAGGGATGGCTTTTGGAAAATCTAAGAAACCAATGTTTATTTTTGCCATTGAGCAAAGTCTGCAGACGTTCAAGGCTATTTAGAATAGAATTTTGTCAGTTTTTTGTACAATCCTCACAAACTGCAAGACAGAGAAGAGGTAAGAGTGACAATGTGGATCAAAATTTTTCTAGCAAATATCATTCCAGTGCTTCAGTGGAGCCCTGTGATCCCTTAGTTTATTTTTCTCCAACAGTCAGATGACAATTGTAAATACAATGTAAATACATAGACAGAGTCATTTACACATGTGGAAAAATTGACATCAGCATCAATATCCCAGGTATTTTATTTATAAGGTAATGGATTCTTCTGGCTGCTAAGAAAGAAAATAAAATATTTTCAACCATATTATAATTGGAACAAAAACTCAGTTTACTTAATTTTTTTATTTTAACTTTCTACTGATTCTGAAAAACAAAAATCTTTCAGACACTATTTGATTGTGTATTGCTTAATCTTCCATTTAGAAGTTTACTGTTGGGTATTTTTTTTTTTTTGAAAATAAGTAAACAAGCCACTATATTAGTGACAACTGCAAGTCTCCTGTCACATGACAATTTCATCCAAACCCCTCCACTAAGAGACTTAACCAAACTGTAGCATGGCTTCTAGTAGCATAATGTGTGCCTAGCATGACCCCAGGCCTGAATTAAAATGCCTACCTGGGAAAGCACAAGGCTGCTAGGAAAATTTTCTGTTTGTTCAAGCCAACCTGATGATAGGCCCTGAGTTCCTTATCTTAGAGCTGTAAGAGTTAAAGAAAGAGCAAATAAACACGAAATGCAGCTTAACAGGTAACGGCACGTTTATTTTAGAAAAAAACCTGAGAGGGGCTTCTGGCCGATTTTGGTCAGGAGCACTTTTTCTTACAGGCTAAGAGTATATATTGGTTTTAGGGTGAAGGGGCTTATCATAAGCTTGGAATGTTTCTGTGTGAGGAAGAAGTTTAATGATGGGGTTGGAAAGTCTCTGGGTGGAGGGGAGGTTATTTTGGGGCTGACATCTTTCCAGCCGGAGGGGGGTTATCTCGGGGCTAGCATGTCTCTGCTTGGGGAGAAGTTTGGAATGTTTCTGCTTGGAGATGTTATTTATGGTTTATGGTCAGCTGACCTTAGCCATAAGGCTGATGCCCTTTGGATTTAGGCGGTTTTTGATTAAGGTGAACTTTAGAATGAGGGGCTTGTCAAGACGGTGATGTTCCTCCTCTGTCAAGAGCAATTTATTAAAAAGGATTTACAATTGCTAATATGTATCTCTTGAAATTCAGAAATATCTTTCTCAGGAAACTGAGAGCCATTCCTGTTTTTTTTTTTTTTTTTTTTTTTTTTTTTTTTTTTTTTTTTTTTTGAGATGGAGTCTTGCTCTGTCGCCCAGGCTGGAGTGCAGTGGCACAATCTTGGCTCACTGCAAGCTCCGCCTTCCGGGTTCAAGCCATTCTCCTGCCTCAGCCTCCTGAGTAGCTGGGACTACAGGTGCCTGCCACCACGCCCGGCTAATTTTTTGTATTTTTAGTAGAGACGGGGTTTCACCGTGTTAGCCAGGATGGTCTTGATCTCCTGACCTCGTGATCCACCTGCCTCAGCCTCCCAAAGTGCTGGGATTACAGGCGTGAGCCACTGCGCCCGGCCCGAGAGCCATTCCTTTACAGTGTAATTATCAAGAGAGTTAAGTCCTCTGTGCCCCAGTCTCTGTGGGAGAATGCATCCTCATTTCGATAACTGCCAGGAAGCTGACACAGCTGACGCAGCTGGCCTAATCACATTTACATGAATTAACCCTTTGTACGTTTTTACTTCTTTGACTCTACTGAACCCCCCACACTCTCTTCTCCCTCATTCTCCCTTGAAAATGTTCAGTTATCTTTGTATAAATGTGAATGGAGCACTGCTTTATCACATACTGTCAGTTACCTAAAATTTGTCTTCACTGCTTCAACTAATGGTAGGCTGTGGGTTATTTTTTGACACTAGCTAGGAATTGAGCAATATGCAGGTTAGAAAATTGAATTTTTTCCTTTTGAGTGTAAGTTAGAAATTGGGAATAATTGGGTGATAATTGTTAAAGGAGGTGAATATCTCTGACATGTCACTTATCCTGAAAAAATTTGTTTATAGCTATAAGTTAATTCAATTCAAACTATGTTTTTAATAGTGAATGTCATATGTACAAATTTCAATGACTGAGGACTAGGCTTAAGAGTATGGTGCTTCTAAAATTTGCTCAAGATATCTTTAGAAAATGAACTAAAAATAAGGCACCTCACCCAAATGGGGAAAAATCAGTAATAATTAATTACATTATTTGTTAATTAATTCACTAAATAAGTGAAGGTTTATGAATATTAGCCCCAGGTGGCAAAGGCTTTATATTTTGTTAAGACAGAAATCAGATTGAGTGTTACAGTTATTCAAGTCATAAAAGAGAATATTATCAAGGGGGTTATCAGCTTTGTAGTAGTGATACATAGGTATTATATAAAGACATCTCAACCTGTTTCTTATAATGCAGTCAAGTATTCTGGTACTAGCATATACAATAACAGAAAGGTTAATATTTTGATATTTATGAGAAAAATGTTAAGGGGGAAAGTGAGGGTTCTTAGGAGGCAGCATACCTAGTACTTAAGAGCCAACCTGCTTGATACAATTGATAGCTCCACCACTTATTATCTTAGATATCTTGTGGAGTTATTTAACTTTTGTTAGTCATACTTTTCTTTTGTACAACTTGAATAAGCAGGGTAAGTATCTCAGATTGTCGCTAGGAGGTGTGAAAGGAAAATATCTTGGGCCCCTACAATTACAATCACGAAGCTAAAGGGAAAATTCAAGTTTGGAACTGCTTAGGGCAACCTGCCTCCCATTCTATTCTAATAAGTAGGGTAAGTGTCTCAGATTGTTGCTAGGAGGTGTGAAAGGAAAATATCTTGGGCCCCCACAATCACAATCAGGAAGCTAAAGGGAAAATTCAAGCTGGGAACTGCTTAGGGCAACCTGCCTCCATTCTATTCAAATTTATCTCTATGCTCACTGAGATAAATGCATATCTGATTGCCTACTTTGGAAAGGCTAATCAGATACTCAAAAGAATGCAACCTTTGTCTCTCACCTGTCTGTGACCTGCTTTGAGTCTTCCTGCCTTTGCTTCGAGTTGTCCCACCTTTCCAGACTGAACCAATGTACTCCTTATATATATTGATTGATGTCTCATGTCTCCCTAAAATGTGTAAAATCAAGCTGTGCCTCAACCACCTTGGTCATATGTCATCAGAACTTCTTGAGGCTGTGTTACCTCAACCTTGGCAAAATAAACTTCCTTAATTGACTGCGACCTGTCTCAACTGTTTGGCGTCCACAGAGGTTTTAAGTAAAATAGTCTACAGAAAGGTTCAGAAGTCTATGAGACTTAGCGAGTAGTAGCTATTATTTTTATACATTCAAAGCCAAAGAAGGAAGAGAAAGGAGGAAAAGGAAGGGACAGGCAAGATGTTGTAATCTTTAAGAAATGAGAAAAAGAAAGAAAACCCCAAATTTCCTTTTCCTTTTTATCTCTTTATGAAAATTCTTTGGCAGATTTTCACCATTTATCTTTGGAGAATTCTAAAAATTACAGAGTTACAAAGGGATTAAGTGAGAGAGTTGTCCTGATTTTTAAAGAGGATAAAATATTGGATCGTAGAAACTACAGTACACTTAGCACTAATGCCTAGGAAATATCTGAAATTGAGTATTCAATACATCAGTTTAAAGATCTAAAAAAAAAATACCCTAAACAATGAAATGACTTACTCATTTCATTTTTTTTCATCAAACATCAATAAAACTGACATGTTTGGAATAGCATGTCCAATGCCGCAGTACTTTTCTATAGGTACTGATCCTTTCATCTTTTACATGTTTATCACAGAAGCTGCCTTGTAACCATGTTATACAAATGTTAGATTTTTTTTGACCACTGTTTTATTCAACAATAAACAAATGAGCCAATCTGACAAAATGAACCTCCTTTTAACTGGGAATTAGGGGCTTGAGAGCAAAATAGTCTTTTCTCAGGTAGGTAAAGCTGTATGATGTGAAGCTATGTGGATGAAAGTAGCAATGTTTCCCAAAGTGCACCAAAAAAATGATTTTAGAGAGAACATAATGAAGCCACACACAGAGAGAAGTGTAGAGCAAATAGAAAGAGCTTGATCTTATTTAAGTCTCTGGATTTTCTGAAGCCAAGCCACATTTCTGTTCAAAATAAATATAAGTTGTTACTGTGTTCATCAAGCTAGTCTAAATATGTTTCCTTACAGATTATTAAATAAGTATATAAAGGAAAGTGTGTAGTGAGGCCTAAAAACTTTACGTACAATGTGAGAAAATGTGGATTGGATATCAGGACAGATAAGTGATTGTTTAGATAAATGAATAATGCAGCACTGTCAAACTACAGAGAGGAGCTTTAAAGGTAATCTGCAGGGTTTATCACTTTGTTACTTCCTGCCTAGAATTTTATCAATAATTTAGATGAATATATAAAAGATACATTTAATAAAAATGTAAGCCAATGGACAATTTTTTAAGACTCAAAGTTAGTAAAATATTAAGTTTAATTTATGCCATGACATATTAGGAACGAGGCTATAGACATGACATATATCATAAAATATCTGAAAGATTTGTGAAAGAGATACTTGATATTATCAATAGATTAAGAGCACAAAATCAGGACAAATTGATATATGTTATGAGGAGAAAGTTTTCATTTCAGTACAAGGAAAATTTACTAACAGTAAAAATCAAAAGTTAACACTGAACAGCTTAGTTAAATTTCCATTATTAAAGTGTTAAAACCAAGCCTTTGCTTTTATTTAAGACCACAGCATAGATGAGTTTTATATTAGGTAAAATGTTGGGTTGAAAACATCTTCAAAGACTTTCAAATCCGAAATTTTATAGAAAATTGGTAATCCTAGATTAATTCCTAAAAGTTAAAATTCCTTTATATTTTATTTAAATTTTATTCTGTCTTGCTTATAGACTAGGAGTTAGAATATCTGGAGATGGGAAGGGATGAAGCTGGAGAGTGAATGGTGTCCTTTGGGGCTGAGTCTTGAAATGGGGAAGAAATTACCCAAAACAACAAGATGGTTGATCCTGATAACAAATAAGTGAACAAAAAAAAGTTGCTCACAGATGCTGTTGAGGTGGGAGAATAGGGCCTGGAGGCAAGGAATCTAAGGACTTCCTAGAACTAAATCAAATGAAAACACTTCAGCTATGATAGGAAATATCCTCTCTATTTACATAGGGCATACAATGAGTAAATGAATTTGTAACTTTACTTCATCCTCTTCATTAACATAGGGCATATACCAAGTAACCAATGGAAACCTCTAGAGGGTATTTAAACCCCAGAAAATTCTGTAACAGTGCTCGAGCCCACTCCCACCCTGTGGAGCATACTTTCGTTTTCAAGAAATCTCTGCTTTTGTTGCTTCATTCTTTCCTTTTTTTGTTTGTGTGTTTTGTCCAATTTTTTGTTCAAGACATCAAGAATCTGGACACTCTCCACTGGTAACACTGTCATATAAGAATCCAGCTATTACAAAATCCAGGTAACAATATATGGGCATCAAAACTGGGCTTCTAGAAGAGGAGTTTGTGTTCAGCAAGTTAAATGTAAGAACAAGGGGAATAATAGGGCATGGTGTTGGTGGTGGAGGAGTTAAATGGTAGCATAGCTAAAAGGATCAGAACAGACATAGTCATTTCTATTTTTCCCCAAAATCTGAGCTGTGTTACATGTGAGCTTATATGTCTTAGAAGGCTAGAGATAAAACAGATACCCTCTGTAAAAGTTAAAGAAAGAGGAAAGAAACAGAAAACACAGCTTGATAGTTAAAGACAGGTTTACTTTAGATAAAACCCAAGGGGGGCTTCTGGCCAATTTCTGTCAGGGGCACTTTCTCTTACAGACTAAGAGTATATATTGGTTTTAGGGTAAAGGAGCCTATTACAAGCTTGGGATGTTTCTGTGTGGGGCAGAAGTTTATGGCAGGGTTGAAATGTCTCTGGGCAGAGGGGAGGTTATCTTGGGGCTGGCGTCTTCCCAGCTGGAGGGGTAGCATGTCTCTGCCTGGGGAGGAGTTTGGGATGTTTCTGGTTGGAGATATTATTTGTGGTTTATGGTCATGCTGACCTTAGCCATTAAGGCTGATGCCCTTTGGATTTAGATAGGTTTTCTTTTTTTATTAAGGTGAACTTTAGAATGAGGAGCTTGTCCAAGATGGTGATGCTCCTGCTCTTTCACCCTCTAGTAAAGTGTTTCTCAACCAGAAATTGGCACTTTGAATAGAACAAGTTTCCACTGTACATGACTGACCCATACATCATGCCATATTTAGTATTCTACATACAGTGAATAGTGGTGGCATTCTAGAGTAATGGCAAAAAGCATCTCAAGTTTAAGGATATTTGGTGGGGACTTAAGAAAAGTAATTTAATCTTAAAAAATCACATTTGCCTAGCATTTTACATTTTGAAGCACTTTAGAGGGATTTTTCTTATTAAGTGACACATAAACGTTTTGTTAGAGGTAGAACAAATATTATTGTTCTTTTTTCACAAAAATGACCTAGTTAAGTTCTGACAGCTAGTTAGTGACAGAACAAGGACTTAATCAAAGTTATTTCATCCCCATTATTTTGTTTTTTTGTTCAGAAAATGTCCTTCTAGTCTAAACATATACATAAGGAAGAGAGTAAATTGCCACAAAAACATAACATTACAAAAACTATGAAGCAATTTTAGAATTCCTGAGTGGGAGTAGAAAGGAAATTACAATGTAGTAAATTTCATTGTATTCTGCATTTATGAGATTTTGGAATGTTTCCAAAATCTATATTATTCTGGCAACATCCTTAACAACTTGGAATCAATGGTAAATTATGTAAATATGATTGAATCATCAGTAAATTGCAACTTGATCAGATATAGCTGTGTGGTAATATGAGTATAACTGTTAACTACCCTGACTATATTTTATTATATACCCAAGAGCCAAGATTCTCACATATGTTGCATTTTTTCAATCATTTTGTTAGAGGATTGATATTAAATCATACCTCTTCCCTTTTTTTTTCTTTTTTTTAAAGGAAGTCTACCTATGTGGCATAATGAGACCTACTCACTCATTCAGCTCAATGTTCTACTGACATCTGAATAATAGTATGCCTTCTCTGTTACATTTATTAACTAAAATTGGGAGCTATATCTGAAAATTATTTTTGTATGCAGTGCTCACACACCATCTGACACTGAGTTATTGACTTCAAAATAATGGATTTTGGGGGCAAGAGTAGAGGAAGTATTTGTGAACTGACTTAATGCTACTTGGTTATGTATAGGTTCTTTCTGGTAGTTAAAATTAGCCACTAAATATTTCAATTGGAGGGGATTATTACATTAACAAATCTTAGATCAGACTTTTACAAACATGACAACTACAAACAGGGGCATTTATTAACAAACTATTTTTAGTTATATAAAAGAAACAATTCCCACAATCTGTTTTTTACTTGGAAAATTTTCAATTACACTGGATTTTAAGTACTCTTACTATTATTTGTTGTAAGAGGTTATTTTGAGACAAATGCCAAGATTTTTTAGAATGAATTCTATTAACCATATCGATATCAACCAACTATGGCAGCAGTTCACAGCTGGCCGTAGAAATAGCCACTTAGGCTACAGTGTCATTCCTAAGGATGTAATACTTAGGGATTTTTATGTCTTGTTCCATGCAAAAGTAAGGCATGTCTTAAAATATTTTAGCTGAACATCTTATCATGAATAACTTTAATTTCACAAATAAGAGAACATTTATTATGCTACTATCACATATTACCATTTATTATTGTACATCAAAAAATTTATATTTGACATCCATCATGCTAATGAGCAAAGCATCATTACTGATTGAGATGTATGGAGACATCAATATCAGAAGGCATGCTTATAGTCATTTCCAGTGTATGTTTCTTTTTCATGTAATGTTTGTGGAGCACTGCTCAACTGGACATACTTGATTAATATATTAGCTGAGCACTCTGAATTGTGCTTTCTTAATGTTGGCTTTACCAAAACAATATATACACAAAGTATCACACTTTATGTACCAATATATTTTTTTAACCTTACAGGGTTTGTAACAAGTGTCAAAACTATTTTAAATTGAAGGCCATTCCACTTGTGCTACATTTCAGAAGATATTTAGAGAACATATCTCCCCACAGAAGCCCAGAAAGGTTGAATTTTTTTATATAATAGCAACAGTTATTCATAGAAAAGTAAAGAAGCAGAATCTGGGACTGCACAGATTTATACAAAAGCAAATAAGAAAATAAGTATCTATAGAAATATGAATACAATTGATAAAATATATTGCTGCATACCTAGATAATAAAGACTCTTACAAATTTTATATCAGAGCTTATGAAAGAACCTGTAACTATGTGGACCAGTATGAAAAATAGATAAAAATAGTTATGCAGAAGCAAATGTGAAGGAACACAAAGTTTACTGAACAAGATAGCATAGAATAGAGGACAGTCACTAATCAAAACAACCTAAAATGTTCACTAATATCAAATGAGGAGAGATTTATATCTAATATCAGAATCTCACAATGGTAATCTATATATTATTTGACACTATGTGTGTTATATATATATATTTAATATGTATATAAGAACATGTATGCAGACAACTATAATTTAGTAAACTTGAAAATCCATTTCATAGGTAATTTAATTATTATTCTAATTTTAGTATTTATAAATACTAGTATGTGTAAATGCCATTTTCCTCATCAATCCTATTCTTAATGACTCTCCAGTTATTTGTACGTTGCTACCTTCATTTCCTAAAACCAATGACAAAAGAATCATTTGAGAATCATTTGAGAATCAATAGCCCTTCTTCTAAATATCAATGGTGATGATGTTATCTTTCCATAGGTCCATGAGGATGTTGATGATAAGCACTTCTCTGATGATATTGAGTATCCCTCTACATATTCCATAAAAATGCCAGGTAAACTAGTTGGCCTCCTTCTACATGATTTTCTCGGACAGGCAGAATCTCCTTGGTACCCGCACCATCAACTTGAGTATAGTTGCCAAGTACCCTGACAAGCTGGTTGGTACCAGCTTCTCATCTCTTTCCCATCATCTGTAATTTCCTCTTTCCATTACTGTCAGGTGGATTCTCTTAAGTGTCCAGGGTTACAACTGTCATTCCCATTCATCATAAACCTGAACATAAGAAGCTAAGCATATTAATTTGATCCTTATGTATGCTATTTTATTTCTCTTCCTTCTGACCCACCCCCCTCATTATTTTGCTGAAGCTTCTTAATAACCCCAGCCATGCTAGACCTTCTCTCTAATCTTTCCTTATATGCTGTATAATGATGGTGTCATATCCTAAAAGCTGCTAGGAGGAAACATGAATAGGCTTTAAGTAGTGATATCTGAACTTAGTAAACCACAATAACATTAGTAGCCACCAATTTTTTCCCTGAAGGCATAAAATAGAAAAGCAAGTTTCATTAAATAAAATTTGAGCAAGTGACACTTTGAAAATAACTGAGGTTAATTAGATCTATTTATTTGGTGATACTGAGCAGCTTATAAAGGAAATCAGAAATGCATTAGCAAGTCAATAGACATTATGATTATTTTAGAGATTTAAAGATCAGAGTCTTGGCCAGTTTTAAGGTCTTAATATATCAGCTGTACATTATGTGTTTTGCATTATATTCTTTCCTTACTTTGCTCTATTTTAAATTGATTTTCTATTAAAGAAAATTATCTCTTATAGATAATTAAAGGAAGTAATAGCAAAACCCATAACTCACCAAATAAAAGTGACACATGAAAATATTAGCATCATGAATTGATTTAAGGGAATAAAAAATTAACGATGCAGTTGAAGTCACTTAATTATCTTTCTTCAAGCCACTCCCATCCTTCTTATACTACCAGAGAAAACCATCACCACACAATTGGTATAAATTTTTTATATCGACCTTTTTATACTTTAATCATATATGCGTATGACCCACATGAATTTCTGTAAGATTGAACAGAACCAAATCAAAAATAGCCCTTTGTATTTAACCTCTAGAAATTCACTAAAACCAGAAGTTAATATGGACTATTTTTTTGTGGATTGTACATCTTATATAAATTATCAAGCAATTCTTTTTAATGTTTTTAGGCTATCCACACTGATACATACAGATTTATGTTTACATCTTGATTTTACCGTATTTTATAAATGTACTTACATTTTTCATTCATGTTGATGTTAACTTAGAATATTTCCCAATTTTTGCTATTACAAATGATGCTACAGTGAAGATTCCTATTCATCTCTCTTTATACATTAATAAATAATTATTTTTATAATATACAATCAGAAATGCTAATGCCAAGTTATAATCCAAAATGGATGCAACACATTTCTAGTCCTATTAAAAGAATATAAAAGTCTCTGCCTCCCCCATATCCTTGCCCACAACCGGTATTGCCAAATTTTTTACTTTGGATTACATTTCCCTAATTACTTGTAAGGAAGTGGGGACTCAATTCCTCCTCTTCACTTTTTGAAAAAGGTTGTAAATGAGTCATGTTCTCTTAGGACTCCTTGTTTGTAGCTATAATTTTTGAGAGTATGATAAGTCTTGAATGTGTAGGAGAAGAATTTAGTGGAATAACTTTTCCAAATGGTAGAAGAAAGAAAGCTTCCAAGCAGATTGATATGTTCTTTGATTAAAGGCCCTGATTAATGAGACTGATGATTTTTGAGGGGTAGATATATGAACATAGGAGTCACTCCTTTCTAAAATGGTAGAGTAACTTCTACTTATCAAATTAATGCAGAGGAATTTCTTTAAATTTGAGAGAATCTCAAAGAGAGCAGAGTTCTATAAGTTTGAACTTCAAATATCCAAAATAATAATGTCTTTTTTCCTAAAAACATAACTAAAAGGCAGTATTTAATTCATTCATAAGTTTTGTGCGGTAATAGTTAGCAGATACAAGTTTATAAGAATTTAGGCCATTAGTATAGACCTTATCAGGAATAATAATTATCATCATAACTTACGCATCCAGTGTCTGTAAAATTTCAGGTAGTTTATTCATTTATTCCTCACAGCAACACTAGGACTTAGGTCCTATTATTATCTCTGATTTTATAGATGAAGAAATTGAGACAGTTTTCCTGTGTAGGCAACAGAGTTAGTTTGTAACACAGCTGGAATTTAAGCCCAAGCAGTTAGATTGCAAAGTTCTTGTTCCTAAACCCCTTGCTGCACTGTCAGCCCCTTCAAGGAGCTTCTTTCATGATATCTTTGTTTCTTATGCTTATTCTTTTTCAAGATAGTTTGATACATTCATGGAGAATATATTCAGGCATTTTTAAGTCTATCATGTTGGCAAAGGTGATATTAATGACACAAAAATCTAATATTGATTCCAAAAGGATATCAAATAGAATGGATAGAGAGATATGGTGCATACACAATTCAATACAAATCAGCCTTTTTTAAAAATGAAAATACTGCAATGTGCAAAAACATGGATATACCTTGAGGATAATAAGCTAAATTTAATAAGCCAGTCACAGAAATAAAAATATGGAATGATTCAATTTGTATGAGGTTTCTAAAATATTCAAAGCAAAGAGTGAAATGTTGCCAAGGACTGGGGGAAGGGGGAAATGGGAAGGTACATAATTATGAACAGGCAAAAAGTGTTAGTTAAGCAAGATTTATAAGCTCTAGAGATCTGGTATACAAGATTGTACCTAGAGTTGATACTAATGCATTATACACTTCAAAAATTGCTAAGACGCTGGATCTAATGTTAAATATTCTAACCACAGTCACATCAAATAAAAAAGGTTAGCATAAAAGAGACCTACTGAGGAAATGAACAGCATAGCCTAGTGGAGAGAAAAGGGAAAATTCCAGTTATTGAAATTACATATTCTTTTTTTTGTAAACACTGAAATCATTTAATTTGTGGGATAAGGTGGAAGGTGCTTAATCACACTCTAAAATTTTATGTATGGCTGAAATGTTTTCCCCATTCTCATCACTGTTGTCAAGAAAAATTTATAAAATTGTTTCATAATTCCCAAAATTTTATTATGCACACTTTCAAACTGAAATTGTTACCTTTGAAATCTCTATTAAAATATGACACAATTCCTCTGAGGAAACTCTTATGGATCTGGAATATAATTAAATTTGTATGCTCCTAACTGGATTCAATTCATTAAACTTATACTTTTTTCAGTACCCCCAACTCATGCAATGCTACTTAGGTGAAGCGAATTTTTATCCTACTGGCTAACACATTAAGGATACTACACATACTTCTGTATGCAAGTTCACAAAAACAAAATAAGGATGCTGTGTTTAACAGTTCAAAATCAGTCTCTCAACATACACACAAAAGTAGATAATCTCTTCTGTATTGTCTCCTAATATACAATTCTGTCTATACAACTTTCCTTTCATTTTCCAGCCCTCTTTTTATTACACACACACACACACACACACACAAAACATCCGCACTATCTCTCTGCGGTCATTCTTCTGACAAATTCATCAAAACTCTAGTAAAGTTTTGTTTCTAATATCAGTGTCTGGGAAAACTAGGTTAGCATTACCTTTTTGAGGAATTAATGGTGAGATGTTTTATTTTTTCGGTCAATCAGTAGGCACTTAATGAGTCCTACTTTGTGACAGGAACTGTGCTATGTGCTGAAGATGCAAATATAAATAAGATATGATTCCTGCCTTCAGATAACTTATGACTTGAGAAGTTTTTCCAGAAATATTAATAGTCAAATCACTTATTTTGTCTATAATGTAGAACGTAAATATTTATAAATATCCCAAAATGATCAGTGACTCTTCCATGAATTCACACATTTTCAATTGTAAAACTTCAACTGATCTATTGAGTAGTTTATTAAAAAAACCTCCTCAAATTCTATATCTTATATGATAACTAGTATCATCCTATCTGAAAGAAAATTTAAAGGTACTTTACATTTGATCTAGAGTTCCAAAACATCTTGAATTTATAGATTTAAATTAGTCAGTGATAATGAAAACACAAAATAATAGATCATACGGGTCACAAATTATGACATAGCTGTACCATATGTTGTAATATGTTTTTTATGAAACTTAATTGCCTAATATTTAATAAGAAATTACTTCATCTTAGCATTTTTGAAACTGTCCTACGATGTAACCAAAATTCATGGATTTGGTATTAAGTGGTATATTGAACTTTATAACTTACTTACATTTAGATTTTTAAAGTGGCTGAATTCTTACTATTCACCAACAACTGCACTAGGCACTTTGATAAATATTACCACCTCTAAAACTATTAATCATCTTCTAAGTTAGGGAGAATATTTTATATGTGATTCAATTGAAGCTGAGAGAAAGGTAAATTCATTTGCACAATTTCACAGTGCTTGCAAATGGTAATATGCAGTTTCAAACTTAAGCATGCTCTTCTTTATCTACATCAAATGTGCTATATCTGCAGTCATTTTTAGCAGGCTAAATGGTTTAACTTCCATAATGCCTCCAGTTTGTAGTAGTCAAATCATTTCCTGGGTAGAGGTACAATTTATGCTACACTGCAGAAATAGTTCAGAAATATTTTATGGCAAAATTCTAAAGATATATTCAATGCTTGGGGTGGTACAGAAAGGAGTGATTTTAGCTAAAATAAAATGCATTTTTTTCGTGGAAGGAAGAATCCACAAAAATTGACCTGCTTAAAAGCTTTGTAAGTTTGTATGTTTGTACATGGAGTTTTTAAAATGTGAAATGGAACAGCATGTGACCTTCTAAAGGTAATAACTAATGCCAAAATTCAATAGATTTATTATTCATACTAAAAGTGTTTTAATGATAATAAACCAGTTACAATGTCATCAGCAAGCAAAATTATTTTCTCCTTTAGTCAGTCATCTTTTATAAATTTGTACCTATAATTATTTTGTCATACATTGTCAACTACTTTTGATACCTCAAATATAAATGGAACTATTCTGTAAATAAATGTACAATAGACTATGATTATTCTTTTCATGATTTTTAAAAAATCACTCTTATTACCTTAACAATAGTTTCATTAAAAAATAGAATAAGACCTACTATTTGATAGCACAATAGGGTAACTATAGTGAATAATAGCTTAATTGTACATTTTATTTTTATTTCTTTTTATTTTATTTTTTTCTTTTGAGACAGAGTCTTGGTCTGTTGCCCAGGCCGGAGTGCAGTGGTGCAATCTCGGCTCACTGCAACCTCGGCCTCCTGGGTTCAAGCCATTCTCCCTGCCTCAGCCTCCCGAGTAGCTGGGATTACAGGCACCCACCACAATGCCCAGCTAATTTTTGTATCTTTAGTAAAGATGGGGTTTTGCCATGATGGCCAAGCTAGTCTTGAACTCCTGACCTCAGGTGATCTGCAGGCCTTGGCCTCCCAAAGTTCTGGCATTACAGGCATGAGCCACAGTGCCGGGCCAATTGTACATTTTAAATAAGATTATAATTGCATTGTTTGTAACTCAAAGAATACATGCTTGAGGAGTTGGATATCCCATTCTCAATGATGTGATTATTTCACATTGCATGCCTGTATCAAAACATCTCCTGTACCCCATAAATATATGTACCTACTATGTACCCACAAAAAAGTTTAAAAATTAAAAGAAAAAAAGTTGGCACGTGTTAATATTGTATTCTTTCAAGCACCTTTGAATGTGATCAATGTTAGTAAGATTGTTGTAACATTTCCCTTGCGATCATAATGAGTAATTCGAGCTGTTTATAGAATCAGTCTTTCTGTGCATCTCGATAGTTAAGAATAGTACCATATAAAAATTTCTTTGTACTATTATATTAACGATGCTTTAATATGCAGATTAACAGCACAATATACAATCAATTCAAATTTGGAGCCAAAATATGTATTATGTTTTTAAAAAGGAAAAACATGCATTTCTCAAAATTTCAGGCTAAATATTAATGAGGTAGGAGTCATTAAAATAATGAGCAACTGAAATGCATCGAAAATGCTATGAAATGCAAAAGATCCAATAAACGATTCCATTTTATTTTCATTACTAGTAAAAGACTTCTGATTTAAATTCACCTATCTTCAAGACAACATTTAGACTTGGAAACTTACACTGTCAAAGCTGAAAGCGTTTCTCTTCTCTGTATAACAGTCCACATAATAGTTTAGTGTTCAAGGAAAATGTCAGGGGTGTTCAATCTTGTGCCTTCCCTGAATGACATTGGAAGAAGAATAATTGTCTTCGGCCACACATAAAATACACAAATATTAACAATAGCTGATGAGTTTTTTAAAATTACAAAAGAATTTCATAATCTTTTAAGAAAGTTTACTAGTTTGTGTTGGGCTGCTTTCAAAGCCGTCCTGGTCCGCATGCGGCCCGCAGGTGGCAGATTGGGCAAGCTTGATTTAGACCATTCCCAGTTACAGAACACTCAGAAAACTCACTGCAATATTCATGCCAAAACCAGAAGATGCCTGTATTAATAGAAGCTGGGAAGACTCTGCTTCTCTGACAATTTGACAACTGATATTTAAAAGTGTTTAAACATAAGGAAAATTTTCAGATTCATTTTCAAAAATGTTTTAATTACGGGTAGTATAAGAGCTGAGATTTTCTCTTACAGCAAAAACAACAAAATGTTTTTATCAACTAGAAGGGTGCGATAATGGAACTACTTTTCATAATTTAAGCTGCTTTTTCTTATAAAATGCCAGAAGAGCTTTGTCTCTGTGATTTTAAATTGTATGAAATGTAATTTTTTTTAAGAGGTAGATAATACATCACCAATCTTAGTATATTTTTAATTAACTTGAAATTTAAAACTCCTCAAATTTTAAACTACTTTATTTAGGTATGATTGATATGTAAACAGCCATACATACTTAATGGATATAATTCAATGAAGTGGAGGATATGTATAACCCCATGAAGTCATTACCGCTGTCAAGGCCATAGACATATTTGGCATTACTCCTAGTACTAAAAATCCTAGCCAGAACAACCTCTGAAAGTTTTCTCCTGCACCCTTTGTTATTTATTTCAGAGTAATAACATTTAGCGTAAATTTTAAGTATAATACAGTATTATTAACTATAGGTACTAAACCATAGATCTCTCGAAAAGATTTATCTTACATAACTGAAATTTTGTACCCTTTAGCAAACATTTCCCCATCTCCTCCTTCCTCCAGCACCTGGCAATCACCATTCTACTCTGTGCTTTTATGATCTTGACTATTTCGATTCCACATCTGAGATCATGCACTATTTGCCTTTTTGCATCTGGCCCATTTCACTTAGCATGTTTTCAAGGTTCATCTTCATTGCTACATATAGCAATATTTTTTTCAGACTAAGTGATAATTCCATTGAATGTATATACCACATTTTCTATATGCATTCATCCACCAATTGACATTTATGTTGTTTTCATAACTTAGCTATTGTAAATAATGATGTAATAAACATGGGAATGCACATATCTATTCAAGATTCTAATTTAAATTATTTTGGATATATACTCAGTAGTGGAATTGCTGTATCACATAGTAGTTTTAATTTTAATTTTATGAGGGAGCCCTATACTGTTTTCCATAATGTCTGTACCAATTAAATCTCTGCAAACAATTTACAAAAGCTTTCTTTTTTCCACATTCTCACCAATACTTTTTTTTTTTTTTTTTTTTTTGAGACGGAGTCTCGCTCTGTCACCCAGGCAGTGGTGTGATCTCGGCTCACGGCAACCTCCGCCTCCTGGGTTCAAGGATTCTCCGGCCTCAGTCTCCCAAGTAGCTGGGATTACAGGCATGTGCCACCACGCCAAGCTATTTTTTTTTATTTTTAGTAGAGATGGGGCTGGCCAGGCTGACCTCGAACTCCTGACCTCAGGTGATCCACCTGCCTCGTCCTCCCAAAGTGCTGGGATTACAGGCATGAGCCACTGCACCCAGCCACCAACACTTACATTTTAAAAATCTTTTTCCCAACTTTCTTGATATGTAACTGACAAATACAAATTACATATATTTAAAATGTAAAATGTAATCCTTTGATATATGCATACAATACAAAGTGATTACCAAAATTAACATATACATCATATTATATAGTTAGCATTTTTTGCAGTGAGAACACTGAACATCTACTTTTTAATTAATTTCAAATATACAATATATTTTCATTAACTGTAGTTTCTATGTTGTGTATTAGATCTTCAGAATCACTCAACTTAAGATTTCAAACATTTTGACCAAAATGTTCTCATTTTTCTCACTCCTCAGCCCCTGGCAACCACCTTTCTGTCATGTTTCTATGAGTTCAATTTCAAATTCCATATAAAAGTGAGATCATGCAGTGTTTGTCTTTTTGTGTTTGAGTTATCTCATTTAACATAACATCCTCTAGTTTCATCCATGGTTTGGCAAATCACAAGGTTTTTTCTTCTATAAGGCTGAATAATATTTCATTGTATATATATATATATATATATATATATATATATATATATATATATATATCATTTTCTTTATCCATTCATCCATTACCAAACACTTAGGTTGTTTCCCTATTTTAACTATTGTGAACAATGCTACAATAAACATAGGAGTGCAGATACCTTTTTCACATACAGATTGCAATTTCCTTAAATATATATTTATTTTAAGTTTTTGAGGATCCTCTATACTGTTTTCCAAAATAACTGTACCAGTTTACAATCCCATCAGAATACAAGTTCTCACTTTTCTCTACATCCCTGCCAACACTTGTCACTATTTGACTGTTTGATACTAGATGTGAGGTTATATTCCATTGTAATTTTGATTTTTCTAGCGATTAATGATGCTGCTTGATTGAGCACCTTTTCATATCCATACAATATACAATGACCTGTTGGCCATTTGTATGTTTTCTTTAGCTCACTGTCTACTCAGATTCTTTGCCTATTTTTTAATCAGCTGATTTTTTTTGCTATTTAATTATAGATGTTTCTCTTATATTTTGAATATCAATCCCTTGTCAGATATATGATTTGAAAATACTTTCTCCCATTTAGTTGCTTGACCTTTCATTTTGTTGAATGTTTCCTTTACTGTGCAAAATTTTTTTAGTTTGATGTAATACCATTTGTTTATGTTTGCTTTTGTTGTCTGTGCTTTTGGAATTACATTCAATCATAAAAAGCTGAAAGCATTTTCTCTAAATCAGGAACAAAGCGAGGATGTCTATGCTCTCCAATTCAATTGAACATAGAACTAAAAGTCCTAGCCAGAAAAATTATATGAGAAATAGAAATAAAAGGTTTCCAAATTAAAACAGAAAAAGTTAAATTGCCCTGTTTTCAGATGACATAACTTTTACAGGTCAAGAAACATGAAGGAGGGAGAGAGGTGGCTCAGGATTACAAAAGAGAAGGCTTCGTTGATCATCCTCCTGGCAAGGAAACCAATTTAACAACTATCTACACAAGAGAAGCACCTTCATAATAACCCAAAATCAGGTGAGCACTCACAGTACCTGCTTTTTATTTCATATCACTGAAAGAAGCACTGAAGATGTAGAAAAAACAGCCTTGAATTGCTGATGCCAACCCTCCCCGATACATCAGCAGTGGCTGCATGGTGAGGAGTGTTTCTGTGCACAGCAGAGAGAGGACTGACTTAGTGCTGACCTGTTATAGCAGAAAACAAAACCATACCAATTCAGCTGCCACCCGCCCAGGAAGGGAGCATTTAAATCAGTTTTAGTAAGAGGGGAATCACCAATCCCAGTGGTCCAAACTTGAGTTTCCACGAGCCTTGCCATTGTGGGCTAAAGTGCTCTGGGATCATAAATATACTTGAATAGAGACTGCTACAAGGACTACAAGTCCGAGTGCTGAACTGGGCCCAGAGACAGTGGGCTGGGTTAGGTGGGCTACATCTACTGATACACCAGCAGGAGCAGCTAAGGGAGTGCTGGTACCAGCCTTCCCCCAAGCCCAGGCTGCACAGCTCATGGCTCCAACAGTGACCCCTTCTCTCCACTTAAGGAGAAGAGTGGGAATAGTAGGGAAGATTTTGTCTTGTACCTTAGACACCAGCTCAACTACAGCAGGTTAGAGCATCAGTCATTTTAGACCCTACTTCCTGGACATTTCCAGATCCTACTTCCTGGTATTTCTAGACACACCCTGGGCCAGAAGGGAACCTACTTTCTTGAAGGGAAAGACCCAGTTCTGGGAAGGATTATCATCTGTTAACCAAAGAGCACTTGGGCCCTGAATAATCAGAGGAAATTCCCAAGTACTATGTCAAGGGCTTTGGGTGAAACTCTAACACTTGCTCACTTCAGGTGAGACTCAGCACATTCCTAGCTGGGATGGCTATGGGATGAGACTCTGTAAACTTGAGAAAAGCAGAGAAAAAAGTCTTGCACCTAACATGCCAACATGGCCACAGTGGGGTATAGCACCAAGCAGACACCTGGGGTCCCAAATTTCAGGCCTTTACTCTTAGACTTCATTTCTGGAGTTGTCTGGGGCCAGATGGCAGCCCACTACGCTGAAGGATAAGTCACAGGACAGGTTTTTGGCTCTAGTCTCTGACTCCTGAACAGCACCTAAGGACCCACCTGGCACTGAGGAGAAGTCACCTCCCTGAAGGGAAGGACAAAGACTAGACTGGCTTTGTTGCCTGCTGAGTGTAGAGTCCCAAGGCCTTGAGCAAACATAGATTGAAGCCAAGAAGTGATTACCATAGGCCTTGAGTGAGACTCTGTGCTGTGCTGGCTTCAGATCTAACCCAGTACAGTTCTAGTGGTGATGGCCACCAGGGTCCTCTTGTCACAACACCCCTAGCTCCAGGTGTCTCAGACCAGAGAAAGAGACTGTGTTCATTTGAGAGAAAGTAAGAGAAGGGAACAACAGTTTCTGCCTGGTAAACCAGAGAATTCTTTTGGATCTTGCTCAAGACCATCAAGGTAGTACATCTACTAGTCTGCAAGAACCACAGTGTTACTGGGCTTGGCATATAGACTTAGGCAGATTCAGCTTAGATCACAACACTCAAGTTTTTTCTAATATCTGGAAAGCCTTCCACAGAAGAATGGGTACAAATAAGCCCAGATAGTGAAGACTAAAATTAATACTTACTCAAAAGAATAATAATAGAGAACTTTCCAAACCTAGAAAAATATATCAATATCCCAGTACAAGAAGGTTGTGGAATACCACGCAGATTTTTCCTAAAGACTACTCAAGGCATGTAATAATCAAACTTCCGAAGGTCAAAAATAACAAAAGAATCTTAAAAGCAACAACAGAAAAGAAACAAATAACATACAATGGAGCTCCAATACATCTGGCAGCAGACTTTTCAGTGGAAATCTTACAGGCCAAAAGAGAGTGGTCAGACATATTTAAAGTGTTGAAGAAAAACTTTTAGCCTTGAATAGTATATCTGGTAAAACTATGCTTCAGATATGAATGACAAGTAAAGATGTTCATGAACAAACAAAAGCTGAGAGATTTCATTAATAACAGAATTGTCCTACAAGAAATGCTAAAGAAAGTACTTCAGTCAGAAAGAAAAGAATGTTCACAAGCAATAAGAAATCATCTGAAGGTAAAAAAACTCACTGGTAATAGTAAGTACACAAAAACATCACATAATATTATAATAATGTAACTGTGGTGTGTAAACTACACTTAAGTAGAAAGACTTAATGCTGAACCAATGAAAAATAATAACTATAACAACATTTCAAGACAGACACAGTACAATAAAATATAAATAGAAACAACAAAACGTTAAAAACCAGAGGGATGAAGTTAGTCTTTTTTGGTTTTGTTTTTGCATGTTTTTCTTTGTTTGTTTATGCAGTGTTACCTTGTTATCATTGAAAACAATTGGTTATAAGCCAAATGTTAACCTCAAACAAAAATATATAGAATGGATATACAATAAATAAAAAGCAAGAAACTAAATTATATTACCAAAGGAAATCACCTTTATTAAAAAGAAAACAGGAAGAAAATAAGGAAGAGAAGATCACAAAGTAACAAGAAAACAAATAACAAAATGGCAGGAGTAAGTTCTTACATATCTATAATAGCATTAAATGTAAATGGACTAAAGTCTTCAATCAAAAGAAATAAGAGTGGCTAAACTGATTTAAAATATACCCACTTAGTTGTTGCCTACAAGAAACACACTGCACCTATCAACACACACATAGACTAAAAAAACAAAGAAACAAACAAACAAAAAAATTGAAAAAGATATTCCATGTCAATGGAAACCAAAGGGGAGCAGGGTTAGCTATGCTTGTATCAGACAAAATGGATTTCAAGACAAAAATTGTAAGAAGAGACAAAGAAGGAAACTATGAAATGATAAAAGGGTCAATTCAGCAAGAAGATACGGCAACTTAAAAAATACAGGCACCCAACAGTGGAGCACACAGATATATAAGTCAAATATTTTCAACAATAATAGTGGGAGATTTCAACACTCTACTTTCAGCACTGGATACATCTTTCATACAGAAAATCAACAAAGAATCACCAAATTTAGTCTGCAGTGTAGACCAAATTGACCTAATAGATATTTACAGAACATTATATGCAATGACAAATGAAAACACACTTTTCCTCAGCATGTGGCTCACTCTCAAGGACATACCATACGTTAGATCAGAACACAAGTCTTAAAACATTCAAAAAATTGCAATAATATCAAGCATATTCTCTGACCACAATGCAATAAAACTAGAAATAAATAAGAGGAACTTTGGAAACTATAAAAATAGATAAAAATGAAACAATATACTCCTGAATGAACAGTGAGCAAAGGAAGAAATTAAGAAGGAAATTGAAAAACGTCTTGAAACAAATGATAATAGAACACAGCATACCAAAAACCTATGGGATACAGCAAAAGCAGAACTAAGAGGGAAATGTATAGCTATAAGTGCCTACATAAAAACAAAATAAAAACGTCAGTAAAAAACCTAACAATGCATATTGAAAACTAGAAAAGCAAGAGCAATCTGAATCCAAAATTAGTAGAAGAAAAAATATTAATGATCAGAATAGAAAAAATGAAATTGATACATTTTAAAATAACCTAAAGACTACAATTGTATTGTTTGTTACTCAATGGATAAATGTTTGATGAGATGGATACCCCATTCTTAATTGTGTGTTTATTTCACATTGCATGCATGTATCAAATCATCTCATGTACCACATTAATATATACATCTATGTAGCCAAAAAATTAAAAATTAAAAGAATTTAAAATAAATAAAAAAATTGCAATGAAAAATATAATACAAAGGATCAATGAAATAAAAATTGTGGAGTTTTTTGGAAAGTTAAACAAAATTGACAAACACTTAGACATAGTAACTAAAAAAAGAGAGAAGATACAAATAAATAAAATCAGAGATGTAAAAGGAGACATTACAACAGATACTCTAAAATTCAAAGGATTATTAGTGGCTGCTATCAGCAACTATATGCAATAAATTGGAAAATCTAGAAAAAGTATACAAAATGGTAGACACATACAACCTACCAAGATTGAACCAGGTAGGAATCCAAAACCTAAACAGAAAAGTAACAAGTTACTAGATTGAGGCTATAATAAAAAGCCTCCCAGCAAGGTAAAGTCCTCAACCTGAGGGATTCACTTCTGAATTCCACCAACATTTTAGAGCTAATACCAATTCTATTCAAACTATTCTTAAAAGTAGAGAAGGGAATATTTCTAAACTCTTTCTATAAGGCCAATATTACACTGATCCCAAAACCGGATTAAAAAAAGGTCAAAGAAAGAAAATAAAAAGCCAATATCTCTGATGATATTGATGCAAAAATTTCCAATAACATATTGTTAAACAAAATTAAACAATACATTGAAAAGATGTCATCTATCATGACCAAGTAGGATTTATTCCTGGGATGCAAGGATGATTCAACATATGCAAATCAATCAATGTGATACATCATATCAACAGAATGAAGAACAAAAAATATATGATTTTTTAAAATGTTATTTTAATTTCTATTATTTGTAGAGACAGGGTCTCCTTATGTTGCCCAGGCTGGTCTCAAACCCCTGGGCTCATGCAATCCTGATGCCTCAGCCTCTCAAAGTGCTGATCATTTCAACTGATAATGAAAAATAATTTGATAATATTCAAAATCACTTCATGATAAAAATCCCAAAAGCATCAGGAAAAGAATAAATACACTTCAACAAAATAAGAGCCGT
Organism: Homo sapiens; assembly: GCF_000001405.40. Lineage (NCBI taxonomy): Eukaryota > Metazoa > Chordata > Mammalia > Primates > Hominidae > Homo > Homo sapiens. Next base: position 3,725,842 of record NC_000024.10, read on the forward strand.
ATGTGACAGTACCACAGCTAGTATACTGAATGGGAAACAGCTGAAATATTTTCCTCTAAGATGTAGAACGTGACAAGGATGTTTGTTGTCATCAGTGTTATTCAACATAGTGGTAGAAATCCTAGCTGAAGCAATAAGATGAGAAATAAATAAAATACATATAAATTTTAAAGGAAAAAGTTAAATTATCCTTGTTTGCAGATGATATGTCCTTATATTAGGAAAATCCTAAAGACTCCACAAAACAAAAAACAATTATTAGAACTAGTAAACACATTCACTGAAGTTGAGGAATAAAAAACACAAAAATCAGTAGCATTTCTATACGTAAACAGTGAACAATCTGAAAAAGAAATTATAAAAGTAATCACATTTACAATAACCAAACATCAAATTAAATACCTGGGAATTAACCAAAGAAGTGAAAGATATCTATAATAAAAACTATACAACACTGATTAACAAAATGAAAAGGAAACTAAATAATGCAAAGGTATTCCATGTTCATGGTTTGGTAGAAAAATTGTTAACATGTCTATATTGACCAAAGCAACCTACAGATTCAGTGCAATCCCTATCAAAATACCAATGATATTCTTCATAGACATAGCAACTACAAAGCTATAGTAAACAAAACAGCATGCTACTAGCATAGAAACTGACATGTAGACCAATGGAACAGAGTAGAGAATCCAGAAACAAATCCACACACCTACAGTGAACTCATTTTCAACAATAGCGCCAAGAACATAAACTGGAGAAAAGACACCCTCATCGATAAATGATGCTGGGGAATCTGGATATGCATATGCAAAAGAATGAAACTAGAACTCTATCTCTCACCATGTACAAAAATCAAACCAAAGGGATTAAAGACTTAAATCTAAAACCTCAAACCGTGAAACTACTACAAGAGAACATTGGGGAAAATCTCCAAGACATTGGTCTGGGCAAACATTTTTTGAGCGACACCAAACAAACACGGTCAACCAAAGCAAAAATTGACAAATGTAATGACATCAAGTAAAAAAGCTACTGCACGGCAAATGAAAAAAATCAACAAAGTGAAGAAACAACCCATAGAATGGTAGAAAATATTTGCAAACTACCCATCTGACAAGGGACTAATAACCAGAATATGCAAGGTACTAAAATAACTCAATAGCCAAAATATACACAGTCTGATTAAAATGGTCAAAATACATAATTTTAACATTTATAACATCAGGAGACCAGCATGGCCAATAGAGTAAGATCCTGTCTCAGAATTTAAAAAGAAAAAAAAAAGGAGGAAAGAAAAACAATTGTCTATACTACCTCAAGCAGTCTTTTGATTCAAAACAATTCCTATCAAAATCCCAATGGCATTATTCAAAGGAATACTAAAAATAATCCTAAAATTAATATGGAATCACAAACACCCTGAATAACCAAAGCAATCTTGAGAAAAAGAAAAAAAAAAAAGCTTGAGGCATCACACTTCCTGAGTTCAAATTGTATTGCAAAGCTATAATTGAAACAACGTGATACTGGCATAAAAACAGACACATAGACCAGTGGAACAGAAGAGACACTCCAGAAATAAACCCATGCATGCACTATCAACTAATCTTTGACAAATGTACCAAGAACACATAAATGGGAAAGAATAGTCTTTTCAATAAATGGTGCTGGGAAAACTAATAATTTCCATGCAAAAGAGTAAAATTGGACCTGTATCTTACATCATACAAAAAAATCAACTAAAAATTGAATAAAAACTTAAATGTCAGACATGAAACCATAAAACTATTTGAAGAAAACATAAAGAGCTGCTTGAAATTGGTCTTGGCAAAAATTTTTTGGATATGATGCCAAAAGCACAGGCAAAAAAAAACAATTTTTTAAACATTATTTTGTAGTACTCCTTTTCTTTTCCTTTGTTTTTTCTTGTTTTTATGTACGTATGTATGTATGTATTTGTTTATTTTTTAAACAGAGTCTGGCTCTGTCACCCAGGCTGGAGTGCGGCGGTGCGATCTCCGCTAACTGCAACCTCTGCCTCCCAGGTTCAAGCGATTCTCTGCTTTGGCATCCCAAATAGCTGGGATTACAGGCACCTGCCATCAAGCCAGGATAATTTTTGTATTTTTAATAGAGGCAGGGTTTCATCATGTTGTCCAGGCTGGTCTTGAACTCCTGACCTCAGGTGATCTGCTCGCCTTGGCCTCCGAAAGTGTTGGGATTACAGGCATGAGCCACCGTGCCCAGCTCTATTTTCTAGTTGTCTTATTGTTTTTCATAACCATTCAAATTTCTATTATTTCAGTATTAAATTACTTTAGAAATGCTCACGGTTTTCCAGGCAAATTTTAAATATTATTTCTCCTACTTTGAAATTTGAAGAAAAATATATTTTGCATCTGGCTTTATTCTACTTAAAATCTCAACTTAAAAAGAAGCAAAAAAATGTGATTAAAGATCTATTACTAGATTGAATATGTTAATTAGATAATGTACTATTATTACATCTATACCTGTTTGCAAAGTTCGATAAAAACAAATTTGTACCTGGAAAATAGGATGGAACCCTCTTAATTAACTAAACTGATAAGTTCTGGGGCTATGGACCCAATGTAGCTTCTGTGACTTTCAGAGAAGTAAATTTTGAAGAATCATATTAATAAAAACAAATTTTTTTTTAAAAAAACCTAGAAACCAGTTTCAAAAAAAGTTATACTTTTGTCTTCTGAATTAGAATTTTAAAACAGATATAACAAAATCTTTTTTCCCATACCTGGGATGAATTAATCTATAAGGAAAACCAGAATGTAATTAGACTATGATGACTGACAGTTAAACATACTTAAAGTTAACTTTTATCCCAGTAGTATGTATTTTTTAATCTTCTTTCCTTATGTTTGACTCTGCATGTCAAAATATAATATTTTAATAAAGACAGATTTTAACAGAAAAATTATACAGGACTATATATTGTACTAATCTTAGCCATCACTTGTAGTTACACAGGAAATACCTTGGTAAGTATGAAAAATTATAAATTAATGCAGCACTTTGTGACACCACTTAAAATTTAGCAAAGACGTATAAAATGAGATGTTTGACTTCTCTAAAACTTGCATTGCATAATAAAAGCCTATAAAGTGGTGACAAACTTTATGGAAAAAATGTTTTCGAAAGTGAAAAGAAAATTCAGTTTAAATGTTTACCTATAATTATTCACCACAGATCATAAAGTTTTATAAAGGGACCAGAACTTGAGATGCTTCTTAATTTTACAATTAGAAAAATTTAGGACACAAAATTGTTAGTAGCATGACTAAATGTGAATAGCTAATTAGTGCAGAGCCAGAAGTAAGGTATTAATAGATGTGAACTTTAGATATAATTAATTAAATAGATATTATCACATGTTGCTGAACTGATAGGTAACAGCCAAGTCCCATGTACTTCTTTTCATTAGTTCTATCAAGGTTGTAACAAATACAATATTGTCTTCTTAGTAAACTATAATGAGATCTTCAGTTCAAAACACTTACCTCATTATTTTTCTCATGTTGAACAAAAAATGAAAAGCTATTTTGCTAGCAAGAATAATGATACAAAATTATTTTAATTGCACAGTATTAGGCATTTACAGGTTTATAATAAAGTATATTTGTCAAAGTTGTTAGTAATGGTGTAGCTGAGGTTTATTATGAAAGATTCTTTTAAAAATAAAGTTTTTCATGCTTTTATTGCTCTGAAAATAAAAAGATTTGTACCAATTAATAAACACCACTATTGAATAAAGAAAAACATTTATAGGCAAATTGGTGATGATATATTTTTAATTTTCTATAATGTATTTAAAAGATAATTGGTGTTATTAACCACAAGAGATGACCCTTTTATCATAGTTACAAATACAGATAGTGTCCTTTAATACTGAAAATAATTCTATATCTTTTAAATACCTGAAAAAAATGTCATTGGTAGAATGATTTTAAATAAAATTCTTTTAAAAAGCACCCGAAAAAGACATTTAGTCTTTATACACAATTTTCTTTATATTCTTCATGCCCCTTCTTTAAGGTGCTTCATTTAAACTTTTCAGTCAGAATGAAGCAGCATATGTTCACAAAGGAGCAGAAGCACAGAAAATAGCCTGAGTAAAGCAACTCGAAAAACAGATTTAATATGTTATTGCTTTTTAAATGTGAACTCTTATTTAGTTTTTTATTGCTTCAAGATTTGTTTATAAAAATGCTCATTAATTAATGGGCTACATCTTTGTTGTCTTAAAGTAAATGATTAAAAATTTAAAAATGTCTGATTAATTTCTACTTACAGAGAAAGAACAACAACAAAAAACTTCTCTTAATTTTTTTTAAAAAATAGTATAACCCAAAAGAGTTCATTAGAATGTGTTATAAAATACACTTGGATTGTTTTATTATGATTATTATTTTCCTTGGGTCAAGTTTTGCTGTCCTTATAAATCTCAATGATCTTTGTTTCTATCCATACTCTGAATTCTATTTGTCATTCCAGCCAGTTTAGCCTGGTTAAGAACTCTTGTTAAAGAACTGGTGCAGTCATTTGAAGGACATACAACACTCTGGCCATTTGAGTTATTAGAGTTCTTGCATTGGTTCTTTCTCATATCTGTGTGTGGGTGCTCCTTTATCTGCAGTGTTGATTGAGTAAAATCAATAGGCTTATTTTCTGAATGTTTTCACTGGTCTCAGGCTTTGTGCAGGGTCTTTATTTGAAGCTGCCTTCTTGTCTCTGGTTTCAGAGGAGTGGATATTAGTGAGGTATTTTTGGTGTTGAAGCTTTGGGGTATAATCTAGAGGTAGTATATAGGCTTATTGGTCATTTGATAGAATGTTTCTCAGCTGTATGGCTACCCTGTATTCTCACAGTTGCAGCCATGTTCCCTCTCAATGCTCTGAAAGTGTCGGTTCTTCTTTCCTTTGATTGCTGGCTGTAGATCCTTACATGGCACTCCTGGACTGCCCATTGCAGCTCTGAGGTAATCTCAATGTTTATGTTTCTTCCCCACCTTAGAGGCAGCAGAGGAAGAAATTTTAGCAGTGGTTGTGGTAGAGGGTTGTTAGCCTGTCTCTCAGAGTTTCCACCCCAGAGAGGTGCAAGTAACCAATTGCTCAGTGTAATTCACCCAGGATGGAGGGTCTGTGCTCTGGGCCCAAGCCAGGGATTTCCTGTCTTGTTACCAGCAGTGGGATATGTGTGGGACCTGTGGGAGATGGACTAGCCTCTTCTACTTTGGTTGACTGTAGCTTGTTGGAGGTGTTAAAAAAAATACTTAGGATCTTTAACACTTCTTTATTCTGAGAGTGGCAAGGGAAGTTCCACTGCAGAAGCAGTGGCAGAGGAGCTAAAGGAAAAAATAGCTGATTAAAAAAAAATCCTAATGGGTCTGACAGAGCTCAATAACACAATACAAGAATTTCACAATGCTATCACAAGTATTAACAGCAGGATAAACCAAGCTGAGGAAAGAATCTTAGAACTTAAAGACGTGTTCTCAGAAATAAGATGATCTGATAAAAATTTAAAAAAGAATAAAAAAGTGAACAAAACCTCCAAGAAGTATGGGATTATATAAAAATGCCAAATCTATGAATTATTGGCATTCCTGAAAGAGAGGGGGAGAAAGCAAACAGCTTGGAAAACATATTTCAGAATATTATTCATGAACACTTCCCTAACATTGTTAGAGAGGCCAACTGTCAAATTCAAGAAATGCAGATAACTCCTGCAAGATTCTACACACGAAGATCATGCCCAAGGAACATAATCATCAGATTTTCTAAGGTTGCTATGAAAGAAAAAATGTTAAAGGCAGCCAGAGAGAAAGAGCAGGTCACCTACAAAGGGAACCCTAACAGGCTAACAGCAGACTTCTCAGCTGAAACCCTAATGCCAGAATAGATTGGGGGCCTATATTCAACATTCTTTAGAAAAAATTCAACCAAGAATTTCATATCCAGTCCTAAGTGAAGGAGAAATAAGATCCTCCCCAGATAAGCAAATGTTGAGGGAATTCATTATCACCAGACCTGCTTAACAAGAGATCTTGAAAAGACCACTAAATATGGAAAGGAAAGACTGGTACCAGCTAATAAAAAGCCACACTTAAACACACAGACCAGTGATACTTTAAAGTAACCATACAAACAAGCCAACATAATAACTAGGTAACATCACAATGACAGGATCAAATCCACACATATCAATACTAATATCAATACAATATCAATACACATATTAATACTAATGCAAATGGGTTAAATATCCCCACTTAAAAGGCAAAGAGTGGCAAGCTGGTTATAAAAGCAAGACCCAATGTTATCCTCAAAAGACCCATCTCACAGGTACTGACACTCATAGACTCAAAATACAGGGATGGAGAAAAATATACCAAGCAAATATGAAACAGAAAAAAAAACAGAGGTTGCTATTCTAATTTCAGACAAAGCAGATTTTAAACCAACAAAGATCAAAAAAGACAAAGAAAGGCATTACATAATGTAAAGTGTTCAATTCAACAACAAGACTTAACTATTCCAAATATATATACACCCAACATAGGAGCACTCAGATTCATAAAGCAAGTTCTTAGAGACCTACAAAGAGACATAGACTCTCACACAATATTACTGAGAGACTTCAACACTTTACTGGCAGTATTAAACAGATCACTGAGGCCAAAAATTAGCAAAGATATTCAGGACCTTTATTTGTCCTTTCTCGTGCTGCTATGAAGAAATACCTGAGACTGAGTCATTTATAAAGGAAAAAGTTTTAATTGATTCACAGTTTCGCAGGGCTGGGGAGGCCTCAGGAAACTTATTTACAATTATGGCAGAAGGGGAAGCAAACACGTTCTTCTTCACATGGTGGCAGGAAGGAGAAGAATGAGCAAAGTGGGGAAAATACCTTATAAACCACTGGATCTCACGAGAATTCACTCATTATCATGAGAACAGCATGGAAAGCCCACCCCATGATCTAATCACATCCCAGGAGGTCCCTCCCCCAAAACATGGGGATTACAATTCAGATTACAATTTAAGATGAGATTTGGGTTGGGACACAGAGTCAGACCATATCAGGACCTAAACTCAACACTGGAGCAAATGGATCTGATAGACCTTTACAGAACTCTTCACTCAAAAACAAAGAATATACATTCTTCTCATCATGACGTGGAATATATGCTAAAATTGATCACATAATTGGGCTCAAAATAATCCTCAACAAATATAAAAGAGCCAAAATCATACAGAACACACTCTCAGAACACAGCACCATAGAAACAAAAGTCAAGATTATAAAAGTTGCAAATTAAACAGCATGCTCCTGAATGACTTTGGGGTAAATAATGAAATTAAGGCAGAAATCAAGAAGTTATTTGAAAATAATGCGAACAAAGATGCAACATACCAGAATCTCTGGGACATAGCTAAGGCAGTGTTAAGAAGGAAATTCCTAGCACTGAATGCACACACCAAAAAGTTAGAAAGATCTCAAATTATCAACCTAACTTTACAACTGAAAGAATTAGAGAAACAAGAACAAATCAACCCCATAGCTAGCAGAAGACAAGAAATAACAAAAATCAGAGCTTAACTGAAGGAAATTAACACACACACAAAAAAATTCAAAAGATCAACAAATCCAAACATTGAAAAAAAATTACAAGATAGACTAATAGAGAAGAAAAAAGATCCAAGTAAACACAATTAGAAATTATAAAGGGAATGTTGCTACTGACAGCACAGAAATAAAAGCAGTCATTAGAAACTATGATAAGCATCTCTATGCACACAAACTAGAAAACCTAGAAGAGATGAGTAAATTTCTGGACAAACACATCCTCCCAGGACTGAGCCAGAAGAAATTGATTCTCTGAACAGACCAATAATAACCTCCAAAATTGAATCAATAACAAATAGCTTGCCTACCAACCAAAAAAAGCCCAGGATCAGAAGGATTCACAGCCAAACTCTACCAGGTGTACCAAGAAGAGCTGGTATCATACCTACTGAAACTATTCCAAAAAATTGAGGAGGAAGGACTCCTCCCCAGGTCGTTCTATGAGACTAGCATCATCTAGATACCAAAAACAGGCAAAACACAACAAAAAAGGAAACTTAAGGCCAACATTTTTCTGTGAATATCAATGCAAAAATCCTAAACAAAATACTTGCAAACCAAATCCAGTAGCACATCTAAAAGCTAATCTATCATGATCAAGTAGGCTTCGTCCCCAGGATTCAAAGTTGATAATTAATTATAATAAACCACAAGATAATCATGTAGTTTATCTCAATAGACACAGAAAAGACCTTTGATAAAATTCAACATTCCTTCATATTAAAAATTCTCAATAACCTAGGTATTAAAGGAAAGTACCTGTGACGGTTAATACTGAGTGTCAACTTGATTGGATTGAAGGATGCAAAGTATTGTTACTGGGTGTGTCTGTGAGGGTTTGCCAAAGGAGATTAATATTGGAGTCAGTGGTCTAAAGGAGGCAGACCCACCCTTAGTCTTGGTGGGCACCATCTAATGAGCTGCTAGCACAGCTAGGATAAAAGCAGGCAGAGGAACATGGAAAGAGTAGACTGGCTGAGTCTCCAGTGCTGGATGCTTTCTGCCTTGAACATCAGATTCCAAGTTCTTCAGCTTTTGGACTCTTGGGCTTACACCAGTGCTTTGCCAGGGGATCTCGGGCCTTTGGCCACAGACTGAAGGTTGCACTGTCGGCTTCCCTACTTTTGAGGTTTTGGGACTCATACTGTCTTCTTTGCTCCTCGGCTTAAGACAGCCTATTGTGAGAATTAACCTTGTGACTGCGTGAGTCAACACTCCTTAAACACCCTTTCATATATACATGTATACTGTTAGTCTTGTTCCTCTAGAGAACCCTAATAGCATACCTCTAAATAATTAGAGCCATCTATGACAAACCCAAAGCCAACATTATAATGATTGGGAAAAAGCTGGTAGCATTCCCCTTGCAATCCAGCACAAGACAAAGATGCCCTCTCTCTGCACTTCTATTCAACATAGTATTGGAAGTCCTAGCCAAAGCAAGCAGGTAGGAAAAAAAAAAAACAAAGTGCATCTGAACAGGTAGAAAGGAAGCTGAATTATCTCTGTTTGCAGACAACCTAATTTTATATCTAGAAAACCCCACAGTCTTGGGCCAAAAGCTCTTTCAGCTGATAAACAAGTTTAGCAAAGTTGCTGTATACAAATTCAATGTATAAAAATTACTAGCATTTCTATTCACCAACAATAGTGAAACTGAGAGCCAAATCAGAAAGGCAATCCCATTCACAATTGCCACACACACAAAAAATGCCTACAAATACAGCTAACGAGGAAAATGAATGGTATCTACGATGAGAATTACAAAACACTGTTCAAAGAAATCAGAGGAGACACAAAACAAATGGAAAAATATCTCATGCTCATGGATAGAAAGAATCAATACCAATAAAATGGCTTTACTGCCCAATGCAATTTACATATTCAGTGCTATTCCTATCAAACTACCAAAGACATTCTTCACAGAACTGGAAAAAGCTATTTTTTTTTTTTTTTTTTTTTTTTGAGACGGAGTCTCGCTCTGTCGCCCAGGCTGGAGTGCAGTGGCGCTATCTCGGCTCACTGCAAGCTCCGCCTCCCGGGTTCATGCCATTCTCCTGCCTCAGCCTCCCGAGTAGCTGGGACTACAGGCGCCCGCCACTACGCCCGGCTAATTTTTTGTATTTTTAGTAGAGAGGGTTTCACCGTGTTAGCCAGGATGGCCTCGATCTCCTGACCTCGTGATCTGCCCGCCTCGGCCTCCCAAAGTGCTGGGATTACAGGCGTGAGTCACCGCGCCCGGCCTGGAAAAAGCTATTTTAAAATTCATGTGGAACCAAAAAAGAACCCAAATAGCCAAGGCAATCCTAAGCAAAAGTAGCAAAGCTGGAGGCTTCATGTTACCCAACTTCAGACTATACTACGAGGCTACAGTAACCAAAACAGCATGGTTCTGGTTCAAAAACAGGCATATAGGCCAATGGAACAGAATAAAGAGCTCCAAAATAAGATCACCCTTCTATGACCATCTGATCTTTGACAAAGCTGACAAAAACAAGCAATGGGAAAAAGACTCCCTGTTCAGTAAATGGTACTGGGATAAATGGCTAGCTATATGTAGAAGATTAAAGCTAAACCACTTCCTTACACCATACACATAATCAACTCAAGATGGATTAAAGACATAAATGTAAAATTTCAAACTGTAAAAACCCTAGGAGACAATCATCGTGGACATAGGAACGGGCAAAGATTTTATGATAAAGACACCAAATCAACGACAACAAAAGCAAAAATTTAGAAGTAGGATCTAATTAAAGTTAAGAGCTTCTGCACAGCAAAAGAAACTATCAGCAGAGTAAACAGACAACCTACAGAATGGGAAAAAATATTTGCAAACTGCACATCTGACAAAGGTCTAAGTTCTAGCATCTATAAGGAGTTTAAACAAAATTACAAGAGAAAAACAAGCCCCATTAAAAAGTAGGCAAAGGATATGAACAGACACTTCTCAAAAGAAGGTAGACATGCAGCCAAGAAGTATATGAAAGAAAGTTCAATATCAATGATCATTAGAGAAATGCTATCAAAATGACGAGATACCATTTCACACCAGTCAGAATAGCTACTGTTAATAATAATAATAATAATAATAATAATAATAATAACAGATGCTGGCAATGTTTTGGAGAAAAGGGAACACTTATACACTGTTGGTGAGAGTGTAAATTGGTTTAACCATTGTGGAAAGCAGTATGGCTATTCCTCAAAGAGCTAGAAGCAGAACTACTGTTCGACCCAGCAATCCTATTACTGGGTATATACCCAGCAGAATATAAAGCATTCTACCATAAAGACACATGCATGCATATGTTCACCGCAGCACAATTAACAGTAGCAAAGACATGGAATCATCACACATGCCCATCAATGACACATTGGATAAAGAAAATGTACATATACACGATGGAATATTATGCAGCTAAAAGCAAAAAGAATAAGGTGATGTCTTTTGTGGGCACATGGATGGAACTGGAGGCTATCATCCTTAGTAAACTAATGCAGGAAGAGGAAACTAAATACTGTATGTTCTCACTTATAAGTTGGAGTTAAATGATAAGAACTTATGATCACAAATAAGGAATCAACAGACACCGGGGTCTACTTGAGGGGGCAGGGGAAAAGGAGGGTGAGGAGCAGAAAAGATAACTACTAGGTACTGGGCTTAATACCTGGGTGATGAAATAATATTAACAACAAATCTTCTTGACAGGTGATTATCTGTGTAACAAACCTTCACATGTACTCCCAAACTTAAAATAAAAGTTAGATAAAATAAATAAATAAATACATTTTAAATAGCATCTTATGCAAAAGCCCTACATTTATTTGAATACAGAGAACAATCTTATATTTTTCAAAAGCTATGTGGTGGTTTAAATATAAATCCTATTCCTTTTATTTATTTTGCATAACATAATGCTTAACAACTGCTATGTTATTTTGTTTAATAAACACATTAATATTTGTTAGATTTTCAATTTAGTAAATCATTTAACAGTAAATGACTTAAGAAATGTAGATGAAAATTAAGCTAAATATGTGTTTTTACTTTGTTTTATTATTGGATGTCCTAGGATTCTACTTACAAGATATAAAATACGACCTCCTCAAAGATGACTGTAGTAAGGCTATAAAATACACTAAGCGTATAAAGAATTTTTAATAAGAAGATGACTGTTCCTTATTAGTGCTTTTGCTCTAGCCATGGAACTCATCTGCATAAGTAAAGACATGTTGTTTATAACAAGGTTTGGTTGTTCCCATAATGTCTGACTAGTCTGCAAGTTCAGAAACTTATAAATAATAATTTCATAGTGTTGCACTTTTATAGAAACTTTGAATTTGGAATTAGAAACTACATCTAATCCCATTAAATGCCTTGAAATATGGCCTTAAACATTGTTTTAAATATTAGACAATATTGGTCTATATTTGGCTTTTATATCATTATGTGAGAATATAGTATCTATTATATTGGGTTTACCTTTGCAGTTCTGCAGTCTGTCAGATATTTTTGTACTAAAAGGATATACATTGAAACCAAGTATTCATTGTGACAAATGTTATATTAATATAATAAAAATTAAATAATATATGAAGAAAGAAAACTAATACTTGTTTTGCCAAACTATTGTTTAGACAATTTTGTCACCACATTGTAAAGTTTACAATATGCCTAATATTCCTAAAACATTTATTTAGTTAAAGGTCTCTCATAACCTTTCAATGGTTTTCTATTCTCTGCAAAGATAAATTTACTATTCTCCACTATCGAGCCTTAATTTGCCCATTTGTACATATCTCTCACTGTGTAGAGCTATATCACCCCTTGGGATTTTCTGTGTTAAAATAAATTATAAATATTCCCTCTGATTATTTTGTAAAAGAGTAATTTTCATATTTTGCTCAGTGGAACCACAGGCCTCCATGTTTTTGCTGCAAGGATTCATTAAAAAATATAAAACTTGCCACCAAACTGTCTAAAAGAATGCTGTTACTGCATTATGTCTCATATATCAGGGTTCCACGTTACATTTGTTAAGAGAAAAAAAAGAATCAAATTCTCAATAAAAGTTTGAAAACCAGTAAAATACACCATCAATACCATCAAATCTTCTGGTTTTTTTTTTTTTTTTTTTGAGATGGAGTCTCGCTCTGTCTCCCAGGCTGGAGGGCTGGACTGCAGTGGCACATTCTCAGCTCACTGCAAGCTCCGCCTCCCGGGTTCACACCATTCTCCTGCCTCAGCCTCCCGAGTAGCTGGGACTACAGGCACCCGCCACCATGCCCAGCTGATTTTTTTTGTATTTTTAGTAGAGATGGGGTTTCACCGTGTCAGCCAGGATGGTCTGGATCTCCTGACCTTGTGATCCTTCCACCTTGGCCTCCCAAAGTGCTGGGATTACAGGCGTGAGCCACCGTGCCCGGCCGCCATGAAATCTTCTGAAATTGAATAGTTTCGCATAGACAAACTAAATGACTATTTGTGGAGATTTTTAATAAAAGTCTAATATTGTTTATCTTTAAATAAATTCATTGCTCTAAATAAACTAAGCCTCTTGGTATCTAATGCATTTTTTCCACTTCTATTTTCTTTCTGTTCTCTCAGTCACTTTCACTTTGTTCTTCTAAGTTCTACCATTTAAAATAGGCTCAGATCCTTCTTTTTCATAAAGCTTCAAAGTATCATTCCCTCCAGTCCACAGCAGTTGCTCAGTCATAGCATCCAATGTTTATCCCATTAACATCTCAGTTGCTTGCAAATCACCTTCTGACTTTTTTGATATTATTTGGTTAATTCAATGATTTTTAACAGTAGTATTTATGTGTTTCTGCCTTGTTATTGTAAACAATATTAATTTCTTTGAAAGCATAAACCATAACAGAGCAAGTTTGCATTCTACTCCCTGCCACTGTCTTTTACATAGTTAATCCTCAGTAACTATAGATATGCTTTGATAATTTTAAAAATGTTTTAGTAATATAGTAAAAAAAAGAAACCCAGTAGGTCGAATATTTTTGGCTTCTATTTTAAATGTATTATGTCAAATTATGGATTAAAATATCAGTATAGTTAAACAATATTAAAAATAGTTCATTATAGTTTAAATATCTTTTTATGTTCTGTGACAGTAAAACTACATGAATACATGATAGTAGGACATAAAAGCTATCAATATGGGATGAACTAAAGAAAGTGAGTGGCTGTAACAAAATGGAGATAAATAAATGGTGATATGCTTCAAAAGTGTAAAAACTATGAATAGTTTCAGCTGGGAGATATAGATAACTGTAATGATACGGTCCCCATTTATACAACATAAATGCTGCCCAAGCAGTAAATTAATGATTTTTCTTGAACCTACTGGGGAAGGACAATTTCAGGGTGAATAATCACCCCCAAATTCTGGAGAAAGATATCGTCAGTGAAAAATAAGACACGAGCATTTGCTTGCCTGGGGTTTATGTCACTGGGTGCCACAAAAGTTGGTAGGCAGATAGAATAATACATTTTAATAAATAGCTAGTGGCTAACTGTGGGCTACTCTGAAAGTATAATGTTCCTAGAGTCTGTGGTTATGAGGAGTTCATAGATTTCTCCAAGAACGCAATCAGTCACTCAAAGGAAAAATTGAGAAGAATCCAGAAAGGTTCAATAGAAAAGAAATCATCTTTTCAACAATTACTACTGGGAAAATTAAACATCTACATGCAAAAGAATAAAATTGAACCCTACCTCACATCATACATAGCAATTGAATGAAAATAGATCTTAAATATAACAGCTGAAAGTATGAAATTCTTGGAAGAGAATATAGGAGAAAACTTTTATGACATTGGGTTAGACAAAGGTTTCTTGAATATGACATCAAAATACATGGAAAAAAACTTAGAAATATTGGACTTCATTAAAATTAAAACCTCTTGTACAGCAAATTATGACATCATGAAAGTGAAAGACAACTTAAAAAATGGGAGAAAATATCAACAAATTATATATTTCATAAGGGATTTGTATTCATAACATGTTAGAAAGAAAGAAAAACTTATGACAATAAAAAAGTCAAATAACTAAATTTAAAAATAGTCAAAGTATTTAAACATTATTACAGTGAGGAGGTACAAATGGCCAATGAGGACATGAAAGGATGCTCAGCATCATTGGTCATTAGGACAATGCAAATCAACAGCACAAGATAGCACTTTACAACCACTAGAATGACTATAGTAAAAAAAGCCAAACAATAACAACTGTTAGCAAGAATGTAGAGAAATAGAAATTCTCATACATTGTTGGTGGGTGTGTATAATTGTGTAGACACATAAAAAATGCTCAACATCATTTTCATCAGGGCAATGCAAATTAAAACAACAATGAGATACCACTGCACATCTATTAAAAAGGAGAAAAATCCAAAACTTGACAACACTAAAGGCTGATGAGAAAGCAAAGCAAAACCACTTCATTTGTTGCTCATGGAAATGAAAAAAATAGTTCAGTCACTTTTTGGAAATGTCTTATAAAGCTATACATAGAGTTGCCATAATATCTAGCAATCCCACTGAAACTGCTTACCAAGTGAACTGAAAACTAATGTTGACACAAAAACTTTACTTATAATGTCCAAAAGGTGGAAATAACCAAAATGTAAATGGATAAACGTGGTGCACTGTATAAAAAATGCTATTCAATAATATAAAAAATGGGGTACTAATTCAAGCAAATAGCTTTGCTTTTTCCTAAGTGAAAGAAGCCAGATCCAAAAGGCTAGACATTGCATAATTTTCTTAATATAATATTATGGCAAAGGAAAAACTATAGTGATGAAACACATACCAGTTACTGGCAATGGTTGAAGAAATTATATATATATCCTTCCTTGCTTTTTCTAGCTTCCAGTGTTTTCCAGCAAACCTTGGTGTTTATTGGCCAGTGGATGCATCACTCCAATCTCTGCCTTTGTCTTTACATGGCCATCTTTCGCTGTCTGTGTCTCTGTGTCCCTTATTAAGACATCAGTCATATTGGATTAAGGGCTCATGCTTATGTCCTCACCTTAACTGATACATTTGCAATGACTCTTTGTTTTCCAAATTAGTATGAATTCTGAGGTACTGAGGTTAAGACTTCAACATATGCATTTGAAAACAAAAAATTAATGTAGAATGTAGAGCTAGTATTGGGAAAATACAAAATGAGCCAGGAAGATCTTGTAGTGCCAGAAACTAAGATGGTGCTAAAAATTGAAAGAATGGGTCATGTCAAAATAACACAGGAACCAAACTTAAAAAGCTCTTGATGGCTGAAAGTTGAAGAAATTCGAGAAACAAAATAAGTAAAGTAGTACTGGATTCTAGCCCAAAGTATAAAATAAATATGAGTCCATACTGATATAAATAAATATTTGGGTAAAAAATGAGGAAAAAAGATATGTTTCCCTATATAGAGAAAGTCTAAATAATTTATGTAGATACTTCTCTCTTCAGAGAGGCAGAAATTAACCGTACGCTTCTTGAGAGTAGACCATACTTAGAAATTTTCTTGCAAACAGTACATCATGGAAAGGAGAGAAAAAAAGAATAACTATACAGTGGAGAAACTTGACAGAAGTACCTCATCCAGGCAATCAAGGTTAACATTAACAGTGGTTTGGCATGTTGATTGCATGCAATCTTTCCATGATGTGATGAATATGAAATTTTTGTGGTCTTCCTACTAAATACCCATAAAACAAATATAATCATTTAAAAGAAAAACAGCCATTTTTCAGTTGGGGGTTCTACAAAATATCTAATCAGTACTCTACTCCTAAAATGTGTCAAGGTAATCAGCAACAAGGTAAATCAGAGAATCTGTCAAAGTCTAGAGATGTCTAAGGAGACATGCCAACTAAATATAATATATTATCTTGGATGGGATTTTGTAACAGAAAAAGTACATTTGATAAAATGTCTGGAGGTTGGTTAATAATAATTTACTAATACTGGCTTCTTAGTTTTGAGAATATATACAATGGCTACGGTCTGAGTTACACCTCCACTTGTTACAGTTCATGATGTACAGAAAAAACTTTAAGCAAAACTTAATATATGTAAAGAGGTAGCTTTAGGCTAAACTTTGTTTAACAATTCCCGTATTTTGGTCATCTTCTCAATTTTGAGAGATTGACAAAACTTTAGTCATTTATGTTACTATCACTATCGTAAATGTATTTATTTAATCTTGAAACCCACTGGAAAATAGCAGAACAGCAGGTTTTGTAAGATGGAAACAGGCACATCAGTTTTCTTTTCTCTTTTTTTTTGTTTTTTTAAGGCTTAAAGTAGAGTTTACTCTTTCTGTTGGAATGAATGTCTTGTTTACAAGATAAAAATTAAAACCTGGTCTGTTCTAGGATCTATGCATTTCCTTAAAGTCTTAGTTAGATTATGTCACATTTAGCGTGAGCAACTCCATTTTGTTTTGTTCTGGTTTGTTGGAGCCTAGTGCATGAGCTGAGTAAAAAATAATGGCCTCCTATAATTTTGTTTAAAAATTTTCCCCTTTTGGTCAGGTTCTCACTTAGGTGAGAGTTTGACCAAAACTTAGGGCCCTAGCACCACTCTCAGTTACAATCATTTTGGGTTTCTAGTCTCAGAATTTTATTCATAGGTTATGTTGCCCTTATGGTCACACATTTCCTTCAGCTCTTGTCATTCCAGTTGAAGAGAGACCATTTGACATTCTAGAGATGGCAGTATGCAAATATTTACAATTTTTGCGAGAATACAGCACACCAGGGAGACTATGACTATGACTATTGGGAGTATAATACCAAGAGTTTGGAGCATGCTTCTTACCCAGGGTCCCCATAAAACAAACCAACTAAATCAATAGATCAAAGAATGGGCTAGATAAAGAATCTATTCACTAAACTAAGTCTCTTCACTAATCCCTACAACTGAATCTATAATACTTGATGTGATGTATTTCTCTATAGGACTCAAGTGCCAGCAGCTGCACTGATACTTGTCTGGTTAGCCAGTAAGTAATCTAGAGAAATTCTAAGATTTAGCATAACTCTCACAAGAGAATTTAAAGTCTGTTGTGTAACCATAGCCTTTACAATAGTATCTGCTACAGAGCCTATCATGAGGGATACATTTCTAATCATTGCCTTTTTTACTCCAAATCATGGAAAAATTAAAACCTAGAACATCACTAATTATTAGGAAAATGCAAATCAAAACCACAGTGTGATACCACCTCACTACTGCAAGAATGTCCCTAATCAAAAAATCAAAAAATAATAGATGTTGGCATGAATGCAGTGAAAAAGGAGCACTTTTTTACTGTTGGTGAGAATGTAAACTATTACAACTACTATGGAAAACAGTGTGGAGATTCCTTGAAAAACTAAAAGTAGATCTACCTTTTGATCAAGTAATTCCACTACTAGGTATCTACCTAGAGGAAAAGAAGTCATTATATGAAAAAGATGCTTGCCCAAGCATGTTTATAGCAGCACAATTTGCAATTGCAAAAATATGGAACCAGCCCAAATGCCCATCAATGAGTGGATAAATAAAATCTGATATATATATTTATATATTTATTTATATATTTATATATTTAAATTTACAGTAGTAATCTATAGTAGTATTCCATGGTGTGTATGTATATACACCAGCCATAAAAAGGAACAAAATAATGGCATTTGCAGCAACCTGGATGGAATTGGAGACTATTATTCTAAATGAAGCAACTCAGGAATGGAAAACCAAACATCATATGTTCTCACTCATAATGTGGGAGCTAAGCTATGAGGATGCAAAGCTATAAGAATGACACATTGGGCCAGGTGCAGTGGTTCACGCCTGTAATCCCAGCACTTTGGGAGGCCAAGGCGGGAGGATCACGAGGTCAGGAGATTGAGACCATCCTGGCTAACATGGTGAAACCCTGTCTCTACTAAAAATACAAAAAATTAGCTGGGCGTGGTGGCGGGTGCCTGTAGTCCCAGCTACTGGGAAGGCTGAGGCAAGAGAATGGCGTGAACCTGGGAAGCGGAGCTTGCAGTGAGCCACGATGGCGCCACTGCACTCCAGCCTGGGTGACAGTGTGAGACTCCGTCTCAAAAAAAAAAAAAGAATGACACGTTGGATTTTGGGGACTTGTGGAAAAGGGTGTAGGGTGGCAAGGGATACAAGACTACATCTTGGGTACAGTTACACTGCTCAGGTGATGGGAGCACCAAAATTTCAGAAGTCAACACTAAATAACTTATTTATGCAACCAAACACCACCTGTTCCCCCAAAACCTACTGAAATAGAAAAATTAAAAATAAAAGAAAGATTCCATCTGCTTCTGTCGAGAAACTTCCCTGTTTAGCATTACCTTAAGGGTTCCAATGGGTGCACAGTGCCAAGAGTGTGGAGGGACCCTTCTCAGTAGTGAGATTATGAACCTAAGGTTCAAGGTTCTGAAGTTTTGCTGCAGTGTGAATGGCAAGGATAGTCATTCTCTAATGTTCTTAGAAGATCCAGTCTTTGGGTTCTAGATTGTGAAGAGTTGATTGTTTTAAGTCAGTGAACCATAAAAAGCTTTATTTACCTGGTGAAAATATACGGTGGCATAATAATCGACTGTTGTATGTATCAGCCCTCTTGCAAAGGAAAGCTTTTATACGAGAAAACATGCATTGAAAAGGACAATTGAATGAAATCCCTCTATAAATGTTTAAGTGGCTTACCAGGTAGCTGAACGTACCTGAAGTTTTTATTGTCTTCCCAGGAATATGGGTTTGACAAATCAAACATTGGTCATAAACTGTTTTAGCAATTTAGAAGTGACCACACCAATATATATTTCATTTGGATTATTTCATCTTTTCCATAATGAGTCATGGAATGCAGAACCTTTAATAACAAAAGCTTTAAGGACTCAGGAAAGACAAGGTGGCTGTCTTGGTTCTCCATGAGTCCATGCTTAACATCGGACTTATATCTGCTTGAATACCAGTTGTTTTCCCAATTTATGTGCATAGCACTTATAACTAATGGGTTTTCATTGGTAATTTGACTGAGACCATGGAGTTCATTCAGATTGTATATCTAAACAATTTCTGTGTTGGTTGATTTAACTTGAAAATCTGGAAAATATTTTCTTGATATTCAATTAAATTTTGTTCTACTTGGATTTGCAATTTTATAAACCAGCCAGTCTTTTAATTAAAGTTCCAGGAATTCTTGAACAGTCCAAATGATATGACTCTAAAGTTTCCAGAAATCTGTATTCAAGAGTGCTTCTCAGGGTCCTTTGCATCCTCTCATGAACCTCCTAAAAGACATCATATTCTAGGATTTTGTGTGCTTGTGAATTTTTCAGAAACTACATCAGCATTAAGCAATTTACTGTGGAAATGACTACAAATAGTCATAGTTAAAAACACAATTGACAAGGAAATTTGTTATTTCTGTGGTCTACAATAACTTAACCTAATAACCATAATTCTTAATTGATTGATAGTATATAGTCAGACATATTAGAATTTTAGAAATCTCATACAATTTTGAAACATATATTAATAACATTCACTAAAATATAACCCGAAAAACGTTAAACATCATTTATTTTAACAACAATTTCCATGTAACTTAACATGTCAAATCATCCTGTTTACCTCTCTTTTGGATGTTTCAGGGGCCTGCTGTAGCATCCCAAAGTTAGTGATCAGAAAAGACAATTTTGAAGCTGAAATTTTATTTGGGACAGACTATCAAATATGTTAAAGGTCCAAAACACTTGAGAATTCCAGGTCACCAAAAGTCATTTATTTAGCCAAAATGATGACTCAAAGATTTTAAAAAGGCAAAAACCTTTACTCATTGATAAATGGAAGACTTAGATTTTCAGATAATCTGTCTCTTGTTTTTCCATTTTTTTCCTGTAGTTTACTCAAAAGGCAAACAAAATCTTTTATTATTTTTAGTATTACATGAAAATCTTATTCAAGACAGAAAGCCAAATTTCATCCTTGTATTAGTATACTAT
Organism: Homo sapiens; assembly: GCF_000001405.40. Lineage (NCBI taxonomy): Eukaryota > Metazoa > Chordata > Mammalia > Primates > Hominidae > Homo > Homo sapiens. The sequence continues at coordinate 3,746,547 of NC_000024.10, forward strand.
TGTCAACCCCAATTTTTAATAAAACCTTATATACAAATCTGTTCAATCTTAATCACTTTGATTATAAGGTGAGACTCTCATAAACCTTTTTATAACCCTTTACAAATTTTTGTTAAAGAGTAGATTAGTGCTCTGAGAAAATCCTGTTGTTCTTTGTTGTTGTTGTTGTTGTTTTTAGACAGTCTCCCTCTGCCACCCAGGCTGGAGTGCACTGGCACAATCTTGGCTAAATACAACCTCTGTCTCCTGGGTTCAAGTGACTCTCCTGCCGCAGCCTCCCAAGTAACTGGGATTACAGTCATGCGTCACCATGCCCAGTTAATTTTTGTGTTTTTAGTAGAGACGGGGTTTCACCATGTTGGCCAGGCTAGTCTCAAACTTCTGACCTCAAGTGATCCACCCACCTGGGCCTCCTAAAGTGCTTGGATTTCCGGCTTGAGTCACCAGGACTTCTGCCCCTGTTGTGCTTTTATTCCAATGTTCAATTTATGGAAAAACCAAATGTTACTCCTTTAAATAGCCAATATTGTCATTCACAGAATTTCTTTTTACAAGATTAATTTTTTACAAACCTTCAACAACTTGCTCAAACATTTAGCTTTATTCTATCTTACTAGGCAAAAATTTACATTCCAGGGCCTTCTTATGATCTTTTACTAAAAGCACATTTCACTTTCTTCACATACGTTGCATGTAAAACTGTTTTTTCAGTAGTCTTGATTTCATGTTACAATGTTAACTCTTAGCAATTTCTATTTGTGGTAAAAAAAACCTGGTAAGTTATTTTATTGGAGTAACGAGCTGTTAGAAGTTATTTTATTTCCTCGCATGTGTGCATCAAGAGTGGCAAGAAGACAAAATGGAGAAAAGCTATCCAGTTGACTGAAAAAAAAAAAAAACACAAGATCTATGAAGAGAATAAAATCATAAAGGCCTTTCAAATATATGTGTAGCTTGGTGATCCACTTTTAATTAAGCTGACTTTTAGCCATAGCCCTCTTTTTTAAAAGTCCTTTTAAATTTCTTGTTACTCTACTTTAGCCCGCCCAGATTGCCAATATTTCTGGCTTTTAAACTTTACAAAAGCAACATCACGGGTGAATTCAACAAGCCTTAACTAAGGTTATGACCTAACCATGAGTGTATGAGGTATTTTGAAAGAGGTGGTTAGCAGATTTTATAAGATGTAGAATCTCCAAAGTTAGCTCAGAGAAAGGAAGATTCAAGAAGGGAAGATAGAGGTTGTTCATGGAGGGGCTGAGAATCAACAAAGGGCCAAAGTTACACAGATATCTAACCAGAAAGTACTCATTCTCTAAGCCGGGAATTGAATCCTGAACCTGGGTTGTCACGGTGAAAAGACAAAGCCTTAGCCACAAAGCTACATCATTGACAGTTTCCATTGCTCTTCCCAGAAGTAGTCTAGAGTAGCCAATTTTGATCTTGCAAAGGCTTTTAACTTCTTGAAATAATGTTTAGAGCTAACTATGACATGAACCCTAAAATTCTTGTTCCCTGGATGGCAGAGACAGAGAGAAAGTACTGCCACATGGTTACAAAGTCAAGCCCCCAAGGACATAAAACAAGACAAGATGGAGGCCTCATTCAGTTTCTTTGTTAGTTTCAGGGAACTGAAGCAAAATTTGTCACTGACCAGCTTGCTGGGCCATCTTAAATAACAAGCTAATGTGGTCCTAAGCCCATGTTCTATCCCAAGTACCCCTCTTCATGACAGAACAACACAGAAAGACAAATTCATAGCACAAAGTACACCAGATTTGCTACAGCTTAAGACTAGCCTAATGAATCCTTTTTCTTATTAATTAAAAATGTGCAAAAGATAGGGATTTTTACCATTCCCACTACTGGTTTGCAGAGAGAGAGAAGCATTGCCTGCAGCAGGGTAGAGAAGGTGAGGTGCTCAGGAAGGTCAGAGAAAGACCCACCCATTGCAGCAATACTTAACCAAAAATTCAGGTAGCTGCTTGTTGGTCACAAAGGGATCATTTTCAGCAGTCCCATTGGCTCTCATGTTTCCCCGTTTGGGGAGCAAAAGTTCCCCATGTTCCATGGTCCTGTACGTGCCTAAACCTGTTAACCACAGCAGCCATCAGAAAAGAGTGCAAGGCAGATTTAATTTTTTAAAAATGAATTAGTTGCTTAAGCTTTTTATTTTCCTATTATAAAGTTTTAAGATAAAAATATTAGAATCTTTTTAGGAGCTCCTGCATATCGATAGGCATCCCTAGATGAGACTAATTTGGGAGTGCCTATTTTCAAATGCACTTCAGTGCTGTGTTGTTAATTTGGAACGTTCCACTGTAAATGATCTTTATTAAGATTTTGTCATTTCTGTAAGACTTTGCTCCTTCCAGGGCCTAACACTTGTCCATGTATAAGCCAAAAGAAGCTCAGTTCTTCAGAAATTAAGGATCCCATTTTTACCTAAAATACTGGCTTTGCTCTCAGGTTCCGTTGATCAACTTAGCCAGCAATTTTTTCCAACCTAAGCATGCATGAAAAGTGAAACAAAAGGGTAGAACACAAAAATCCCTGCGAATTTCCAAAAGCCAAATTTTATACCCCCTGCAATACTACTATTTACTACCTGTTTCTTTCTGACCCAGTCAGATGTAAAAGGCCTCTAACTGGATCCAAGCCAGTTAGTTACCGGATCTAATCTAATCAAGGGCCCAGTTCAGTTTCTGTCGTGACTGCTGGACCCAGTTTGGATCAGAAAATTGTTCAAAGAAACTTGGAGAGCTTAAAACAAAAATTCATGGAGCTTTGGGATCCAAGAGAGAACTTACCACAATCCCCAGCTGCTCTGAGATCTCGAGCGATGGGCACAACAGGTGGTTGAGTACATTGCTTGGTCACTCAGCGCTCCTGGAGGTCGTTAGAAGCTCTACTTTGGATCTCACTTCTGATGCCAACTGTTAAAAGAAAAACTTCAGCCAAATTAAATTTAAAGAAGTTTAATTGCGCAATGGATGATTCACGAATTAGGCAGCCTCCTGAGCTAGAGCAGGCACTGGGACTCCAGCACAGCGACATAGTGGAAGATGATTTATGGACAGAAAAAGGAAAGTGACATACAGTAAATGGAAGTAAGGTACAGAAACAGCTGAATTGGTTACAGCTTGGCATTTGACTTATTTGAACATGGTTTGAACAGTTGGCTACATTTGATTGGCCAAAACTAGGTGATTGGCACAAGTATAGGCTGTCGTCTGGGTTATACCTCCACTTGTTATAGTTCACGATGTACAGAAAAACCTTTAGGCTGAACTTAAAATATGTAAGGAGGCAGCTTTAGGCTAAACTTTATTTAACACCTCTAAATCAAGCAATCAAAATAATAGAAATCTGAGTTCATGATTTATATTTATGTGCACACAAAAAATAAACGATTTTGTTTATCATAAGGCTTGTTCGTCCAGGAGGTAAAAGGAAGAATAACAATCAAATGGTTGAAGATTTTATGACCTGAATACTTGAATTCTAAAGCCAGGAAAATTTGCCTGTAGTTCAGTTCAATATACCTCAACACAGACACAAGTTTGTTTTTAAAAGAAGCTCATTGAGTTGCAAAGAAAAGACTCACTCAAGCTGGTTCAGATAAAGAAAAGCTTGTTGTGATGGGCAGGCAGAACAAAATAATTTACAGACTCTCATTTATTCTGAGAATTGCAGAAAGATTATCTGGTTTTAATGCTTTTTAGGAGAGCTCTAAAGCAGGAATATGGTTGCAAATAAAAATTCAGGATCAAAATTGCTTAGAGCTAACTGTAGCCTCCATAATTCATTAGGAGTATGATTTTAGGCAAATTACCTAAAGCCTCGGTATTTTTTTTTAATTTTCAAAAGGGAAATAATACTAACAACCTTGTAGAGATTTTGTGAAAAATCAATGAAATCATATTACTAGTTTTCATGGTAGATTTAGTATCTGGTAAATGCTAACTATCATTATTAAAATTATGTATGTCTGTCTCTTGCAGCACCACTGCAGAATGCCAAAATATTTTTATACTTCTAGTTTTAATTAACAATTTTAATTTATATTTATCATAGCTATTAGGAGCAGCTCTTTAAATCAGGATATGTGATTGTCTGCTATAGCCTGTAAATGACTTACCCTTGGATACAGTTAGTTAGCTGCAGTTAAGAGACTGGAATCACATGGTACAAAGATCGACTGCCTAAGTGTCAGAGGCATGTGAACAAGAGCAAATACATCTTAATTAGGTACTGGGTAAAATGAGGCTAAGACCTACTGGGCTGCATTCCCAGACAGTTAAGGCATTGTAAGTCACAGGATGAAATAGGAGGTCAGCACAAGATACAGGTCATAAAGACCATGCTGATAAAACATTGCAGTAAAGTAGCTGGCTAAAACAAAAAAACCAAGATGGCCAGGAGAGTTACCTCTGGTCGTCCTCTGCTACACTCCCACCAGTGCCATAACAGTTTACAAATACCATGGCAATGTCAGGAAGTTACCCTGTATGGTCTAAAAGGGGAGATAGGAATAATCCAACACTTGTTTAAAATATAATCAAAAAATAACCATAAAAATGGGCAAACATTAGCCCTCAGAGCTGTTCTGTCTGTAGAGTAGCCATTCATTATTTTTTTTACTTCCCTAATAAACTTGCTTTTACTTTACTCTATGGACTCTCCCTGAATTGTTTCTTGCAGGAAATCCAAAAACCCTCTCTTGGGGCCTGGATTGGGACCCCTTTTCCTTAACACAAGCAACAGGGGCTTAAGACTGTGGGATTTCCATAAAAAAAAGCGATGGGAGTTAAACAATGTGTGCACATGAACATAGAGTGTGGAATGATAGAAACTTGATCCTTAGAATGGTGGGAGGGTGAGAGGTGGTTTAGGGGTGAAAAAATCACTTAATGGATGTAATGTACATTATTCCAGTGATGGAGACACCAAAAGCTCAGGCGTCACCACTGTGCAATATACCCATGTAACAAAATTGCACTTGTACTGCATAAATCTATACAAATATAAAAAACAAGGAATGTGGACATGGCAAGAAATAATTGATGGGATTATCCAATGCAATTACTTTCTCCCATGATGGAAATGTATACTTTTCAAACATTAAAAACAACAATAAAGAAGAAAATAGCTTGAGAACAATGAGTTAATAAAATACGTAATCTTTTGAGAAGCAGTGAATAGATTAAGGAGTTGCATGAATCAGAGAGATTTTGCTATTGTTTTTATAAAGGGTTAGTGAAGCCTGAAGATATATTGCTGAGTGTCTTTAGTGGCAAACCAAAATATTCAAATAAAGGCATTCCATTAATCATTTAATTCAATTCTAATTGCTCATGAATAATTTCCTCTCAGTTTTTGTCGTTGTTATTCACCAGCAAGTGAAAAGCTGATATTGAATTGAGTGATAGTCAACATTATTGTGATTTTTTCTTTTTATAAAGTAACCAGTTACCTTTCTCAATTCTTGCTTCACTTTCATGGGTAGATAAAATTTGAACAGATTCTTACCTTCTCTTTGTATTGCATACAGCATTTCTGTATCTCACTGTTCATGAATATGAGGACTAAACTCTGTTGTTTTTTTTTTAATCTTGCCCAAATTCCTATTTAAGGGGTCTAGGGAGTCATGCCCTATAAACCATAAACCATAAATTCTCATCAGATGGGTTTTATTTGACCCTGTATATTGTGACTTACTTTCCAATCTGACTCTGGCATAATATTATGAGACAAGGAAAAAAATCAAAATATTTCACTCCAAAATATATTTCCTTGCCATACCTTGAAATTGCCCTGCAAATTATCTTGTGGGAAAAATCCACATTCTATAGAAAATCCCCTTTCCCCTTTGTTTTCCTTCCTTCCTTTCCAGATCCAGGAGATAATCAACTAAGACCTAGGCACCATTTTAGGTCCAATAAGAAATATTTTACAACCTGCTTTCTCTAAACTCTGCTATCTGAGAGCTTCCTCTGCACAATAAAACTTGATCTCCACAATCCTTTATGCTAACCTGAACATTTCCTTTCTATTGATCCCAGTTCTTCAGATAAACTCAACCGATTGTCAACCAGAAAATGTTTAAATTTACCTATAGCCTGGAAGCCCCTGATTTCAGTTGTCATGCCTTTCTAAACCAAACCAATGCATTTCTTAAATGTATTTGATTAATGTCTTATGCCTCCCTAAAATATACAAAACCAAGCTGTGCCCCGACCACCTTGGGCACATGTTCTCAGGGCCTCCTGAGGGCTGTGTCACGGGCCATGGTCACTCATATTTGGCTCACAATAAATCTCTTCAAATATTTTACAGAGTTTGACTCTTTTCATCAACAAATACATAAATGGCTGTCCATAGGGAGTCTAACCAATGTTGAAAATTAAGTAAAATTTGTTAAATTGGATATTTAAAGGAAATAGGCAAAGAAACTAAAACGAACCAGAGTGGAAAAACAATAATGCAAGTATTATGTTTGTAGTTTTAGCCTGGTAAATATAAGCAATAGGTCATGTTGTTCCAAAGATATGGGATTATTGTCTGAAGAAAATGTTTAAATAAGGAGGAAGAAACAAAATAAACATATTTTTCAAAATATCTATCAGTCAGAATAGAAGTAAAGAAAGCTCCCTTTCCAATCTGCTCAGAATGCAAAAATTACAGGATGCAAAATACATCACAGATAGTTGTACTTCCAGTATGTCCCAGACAGTAAACACTATGTATTTCTAATAATTTTATTTTATTTTTCTGGAGCAGAGGGAAAGTTAAAAGGTGATAGATGAAGAAAAAATGATATTTCACAAATACATTGAGTTTAGAATATGGATCCATAATAAACATATACCTTGTTTGCTTACAAAATCCACTGACAGTTTTTAGAATAAGGATAATAGATCAGAGCATCCAGTAACCAAAAACTGTTATCTGTGACAAACACAATACACAGACATTAGCATCTTCAGATTATTGAACCAAAGGTTTTGTAACCTATTTTTTATTTCAGAATTCTGGTGGTTTGTCTGTTTTATTAGTTAAATAATAATTTACTCATTTTTTATATACTTTTATAATAGATTTCGAATTAGTTTGCATTTGCAAAGCAACCCCATGGTAGCTCAACAGCAAAAGTCTTTCACTTAATATAAACTGTACATTTGATTTCCAGAAAGTTGAAATAATGAGTCATTTTCCCCTTTGTGATAAGTAATTTATTACAACCATAGTGATTATTACAGCATTCCATTAATTAGAATTTTACTAACACCAAGTCTTGCCTAATTGCTCTTAGTTTTTTCCTCATGAAAGCACTTTTACTTTTATTATTGTAATTAAGAAGGTGAGGCAAAATGAAAAGGATTTCTGTTACTTCACAAAATTGGATTAACAAAGTGAATATTTCACAATATGACAAAGGTGCATAGTATGCTACTTGTCAAAGTCATTCTTAATAATTTAGTCTGCCATCTGTGTTTTATAAATTCTATTTCCCTTTGAACTATTTTTGTGGTTTTTCTTTTAATTTTACTTTTATGTTTAATTGATAGGGCTTCCTTCAGCCATTATTAGAAGTCTCTTCAATGATGTTCACTTCTTATAATTGTTTTATTATTTAAACATGCTGCAATTCAAAATGCCATTCTTTAGTGTCTCTTAATTAGTTCATTCTACTTACTTTAACCCTTTGGTCTGCTTTCATTGGATTTTTGCTCTGACTTTGTACTCTGCCCATTCATGTCAAAAACAGCCTGTTTCAATTCACCTATTTTTTTTTACTTTGTCATTGCCATGATTTAGAAAGTGCCATTTCTTTATGATAATAAACACTAAAGCATGAATCACTGAATCATAGAAATTATAAGAGTATATGTTTCTAGAAAAGGGTAACTTTGAATAAGAAATGGAAAAAGAGGAGGGAGTATTTCCCTACTAGATATACTTTTAAGCAACCTATATCTCCATAAATGAACAGATCAGCATAATGTGAAGAATAGTAAAAGAGTAAAACAATAAGGTTTCATGAAAATTTTGTATAAAATGAGCTACTGAATTAATATGTATATTGTACTTTTTTCTTTAAATCACTGCTTATTCTCTTTGGATACAACTGAACATTCTCTCATTATAGAAACATGTTTGTTCTCTAGGCTTTTGTAATGTTTTATTCTTCTCCTATATCTCCTGCTATTTAAATGTTGAATTCAAATGAGCTTTCTTCAGTTTTCTTTTGTTTTCAATGTATAGTTTTGTCTAAGTAATTTTATCTAGTGCCATAGTTTTAACATCAGTATTCAACCACCCACTAAATATTTCAAATGGGATCTCAAATAATGATTTCCAACTTATATATGTGTTTGTGTGTGTGTGTGTGTGTGTGTGTGTGTGTGTGCATACATATACTATTCTGACCCAATCTGCTTCTTCCTACGCTTCCCCATTTCAATAAATAGTACCTATTTGTTCAGGCCCAGAACCAAGAAATATCTTTGATTCCTCTCTTTCCTGATATTCAAGCCCATTCTATTTACACATTTTGTAGACTGTACCTCTAAGAAACTAAAAAATCTAAACATTTCTTTAAAATTCGACTATTACTACTTGAGTGGGACGTTGAGGGGGAAGTAGGGATGGTTAATGGGTACAAAAACTAGTTAGAAAAATGAATAAGACCTACTATTTGATAGTACCACAGCATGACTATAGTCAATAATAACTTAATTGTACATTTTAAAATAACTAAAAGAGTGAAATTGGATTGTTTGCAACTCAAATGATAAATGATTGAGGAGATGGACACCCCATTCTCCATGATGTGTTTATTTCACATTGCATGCCTGTATCAAAACCTCTCATGTACCCCATAAATATATATATAGCTACTATGTACCCACAAAAGTAATTAAAGAAATTCTATTACTACTTTGTTAAAAACACCATCTTATCTTGTCTGGATTATGATGGGAAACAAACAAACAAAATTCCTAACTTGTCTCTCTGCCTTTATTCTAGTCAGAATTTGTTCAAAACAATAAGCAAAATAAGCGTTTTTAAGAGTATATAAAATTGCATCACACTCTTGCTTAAACTTTAGTGGCTTCCCATAGTACAAATAATATTAACCAAAACAACTTATCATGGCCTTTAAAACCCGCTGACTATCGCCCCTTCTTCACCTCCTTCCATTCTTGCCACCTACCACTATATTCAGCCTCACTGGGCTTTTTCTGCCCCTTGTATACTCCAAGTCTAATCTCATATCAAGTAATGTATTACTATGCCTTCTTGGAACAGCCTTATCCTAGATCTTTGCTTGGCTGCTTCCTTTTCATGATTCAAGTCTCAATTAAATATCTCCTTCTCAGATACACTTTCCATAGATACCATATTTAAATCAGTTAAATAGCCATCATTTTCCATGGCTACTATATTTAATCAGTAGGTCATCAGCTACTATATTTAATCAGTAGCCATCACTTTTCATGGCTACTATATTTAAAATAGTGTCATGCTTTTACTTTATTAAATGATATTTTTCATTGAATTAATCATTGACTGAATTTTTTTTTATTTATTTGTTCATGTGTATATACGGCACGGTCTCCCTTACTCTCTCTCTCTATTTCATTAACAGCTAAGTCCTCAGCATGTAAACTAAGGCATGAAAATCATTAGCAGTTCGAAAGATATTTATTGACTAATTTATGTGAACCTGCCTTTTATTTTGTATTTACCCATACAAGGGCCGTATTAGGTATCCAGAAATATATTTGGCAATATAATCCAACTAATTTTGCATGTGATAATAGTCACAAATTAGTCACTTGAGTCTCACATGTTACTCTTGTGACTAGGAAGCAATTTTGTCACTATTTTTTAGGATTTAGAAATTGTTTTATCACTGAAATTTTTTGGTGTTATCCCTTGCATAAGGATTCTTTTCAAAGTATTATTGTAAGATTAGTTAGCTGCTCCAGCAGTTAAAAGGAAAAGAAGAAAACACAATAGAAAAGGAAAATTAAAACTCATCTTTCAAAGATGAAAAAGCTAAGGTTTCTAAACAGTATCTTAATTCTAGTCTTAGGTCAAATAATAAAATAAAGTACTACACTAAATTATAATACCGATCATTTTATTGACTACAATGTTGAACAGATCACAATATGAACTTCCAGTGCCTCTTGTATAAGATCATTCATTTTCACTTATTTACTGGGCTCTGTGACCTTCATAAAGTATTAAATGTTACTAAATGCAATCAGTGAAATGACTTGTGGTTCTTTCCATGCAGTTATAAAAACAGGAACCAGAATTATCAGTGATTAGTTCCATGTCTATCTGTATCATTTTATTCATTATGTACTTTTTTCTTCTGTCATTATTATCAACTATTTCTTTTTACTACATGAAAATACTAAACTCAAGCTTATTACATTTAAACTGCAATTTTTTTCTGAGATTGTTTTCATTAGTAATTATAATTGATCTTTAAAATACAAATTAATTTTTCTGAAAATAATAGGGGTAGAAATTTGAAAATCACTAAGAAAAAATGATAGTAGTTGAGAAGTAGTATTTCAATGACTGTGTAACTTTGGAAACAAAATACAACCTTATCAGTTAGGAGCTATATTTGCAATGGCACAACTCATGAGGTGTGATGAACTGTTAATTAGATTCAAGTTGCATAAATATCCACACAACTGAGTGCAAAACTCCATGATGATATGTAGCATTGGTTTTATAATTGTGAGACGACTGGAGACAGGAATGGTCTGAGATAAGTAAGCTAATATGCCTTGAGATTGCCTCTGTATCGATTTTCACTCATCTCTAACAGCCGTTTTTCTAGTTTACATCTAAACAGGAATGTTTGTAATCTACATGTTTAAGCTAAAGACTTGCCTTAAAAATCTTCCTGTCTGTACTGACAGACAGTACACACAGATCTAACAGAACTGTCAATTTAATGTTAATGCTTTGTTTGACAGGTGGCTAGAATCCTTAAATTTTACTTCATGCTGAATAAGTGAAAGAGAGTAACGCATGAAAATCAGGCATGTGTCTTCTATTATTAAGTTATAAAAATGAAACACTCTATTTCCCAAAAAGTAAAAATATTTACAAAATAGTACATATTTTTTAAAGATTTTTTGCCATCACAATAAAATCTGTTATGACCATTTGCCTCTCTCTGTTCTGCTGTTCTATTTAATTTCAAAGTTACATATGACATATTTTCTTCAATTTCATATTACTCCTGCCTATAATATCATCAATTTCATGTACTTGTTTACCTTCTTTAGTCTACGTTCAGCTTTGGATCAGCTAAACAAGATTCCAGTAAATGTCTTTCTGTGCTAACACAACACTACAGACTGTGGATACAAACAGGACTAAAAAAAATTTGCTGCCCTTCAGAGATTCACATTCTTTAAGGAACACCAGGCAAGCAACAATTAAGGAACGCCAGGCAAGCAACAAATAAATAAAGTGCACTGTGATTCATATAATTTACTAATTTTCAAGATACAGAAATGAGAGAAAGGTAATTAATTGTGATGGGAAAGGGGAGCCACAGGAAGGTTTTACATAGGATTTGGAACCTTATTTGAATTTTGAAGACAGAATGGGTATTTTCTTAGCAGAGGAAAAATGAAGGGAATTTCAATCCTAGAGATTTCCAAGTGAAAAGGCAATGAAGGTAAGAATAACAGGAGTGCTTAAGGCAAAACAATGACCTTGCATTCTCTTAAATGGAAAATGTGAATACAAGAGCAGCAGGAGAAAATATTGAAGAATTCATCAGACTTTGAAAGCTTTTTCCTGACATCCTTAGGCACTTGAAATATTTAAGAATGGTGTTATTATTTTCCCTACGAATTGCTTCTTTATCATTGTCTTGCTCTTGAGTTTAGGTATTTTATATACATACATATACATAAAAGGAATCTATTTCCTTTTATTATCCTTCTACAGGTTATTAATTAAAAAACTGCAGTTAAACACAGTTTCTGCCTTTTGTCAAACTATTGGTAATGTCATATTCATTCACCAAATTTCAAATTTTTTAAACACAAAATTTCTTTTTATTTATTAATAATGCTAAAAAATTAACTGCAGGAAATAAGAATAAAAGTGGCTCTAAATAAAACTTTCTACTACCTTCTTCTCCACTGTAACTGTCATCCTAAGGAACAAACAGAAGAAAGCCTTTTCCAATTCTAAGACTAGGCACTGAATCCTTGATGTGATAGTTTAATCAACATACCACTATATTACATTTCCATTCCTCCCTTTTATATTACATGTAAAGTATCTCACTAAAAAAGTAAAGTCCTGAAAGGACACAGAAAATTTCTGGATGTTTTCAATGTGTGTTGTTGATTCCTAATTATGGTGATTAGAAATATTGCCAAACTTTTTAGGTATTGACCTCCAATTTTCCACTCTCAATTCTCCACATTAAAAGAGCCTATTGTAGATAATTAGGTAATTGGCAATTAGGCACACAGTTATTGTACTCAGGTGATTATCTAAAAGAGAATTAGGCATGCAATGGATATATTTTGGCACAAATATTGAGTTTGTATAAGCAAATGTCTTTACAGAATGCATGGATTGTTGTTAATCACAAATCTTAAGATCAAATTGAATTTGCATCTGCTGGTGAATTAATAGATTTAGTCATGGGCCAATGTGTGCTAATATCATAGAAAGAAAGGCAACTAATCAGGCTTGTCACAATGGCTCATGCCTGTAATTTCAGCACTTTGGGAGGTCAAGGCAGGAGGATCTCTTGAGCCCAGGAGTTCAAGACTAGCTTGGGTAGCGTAGTGAGATCTTGTCTATACAAAAAATTAAAAATTAGCCAGGAGTAGTGGCACATGCATGTCATCCCAACTACTGGGGAGGCTGAGGTGGAAGGATTGCTTGAGCCCAGGAGGTTGAGGCGGCAGTGAGCTGTGATCACACCTTTGCCCTCTAGCTTGAGTGACAGAGTGAGACCTTGTCTCAAAAAGAAAAAAGAAAAAGGAAGGAAGGAAGGGAAAGAGAGAGAGAGAAAGAAAGAAAGAAAGAAAAGAAAGAAAGGAAAAGAAAAGAGAAGAAGAAAAGAAAAGGAAAAGGAAAAGAAAAGAAAAGAAAGGAAGAAAGAAAGAAAGAAAAAAAAACGAACAACTAACAAGACACCAGTGCCTTTATATGACAATAAAATCTATGGGGTAATTTTTTTCCCTCCCCTCCCCTGCCTACCCCAAATCAAAATTTTTAAATCTGATCAAGCCTCTGGGTCCAACTACCCATTTACAGGAACTAAAGGACAGAGGAACATAATAAACACCACCACAGAGATGTAATCAGACCATGGGAATCTATACCACAAACATAATATATATTCTTTTATTTTTTTTTTTTTTGAGATGGGGTCTTGCTCTGTCAACCAGGCTGTAATGCAATGGCAGAATCTTGGCTCCCTGCAAACTTGAACTCCTGTACTCAAGCAATCTTCCCACTTCAGCTTCCTGAGTAGCTGGGACTACAGGTGTGCACCACCACACCCAGCTAATTTTTTAATTTTTTGTAGAAACAGTGTCTCACTATGTTGCCCAGGCTGGTGATCTATATTTTTTACAAAGTGTCATGAAAAAATATTGATGGAGAACCTGTGGATTAAAAGAGGCTTAAGAGACATATGCATTGCAACTACATTATTTTGATATTTTGACCATTACTCAAAATACATTCACTGAAGTGTGTGTGTGTGCATGCGTGTGTGTGTGTGTGTGTCTGTATGTGGTGAGGAAGAGAGAGAGAAATTGGCTGGGCGTGGTGGCTCACGCCTGTAATCCCAGCACTTTGGGAGGCTGAGGCAGGCAGATCATGAGGTCAGGAGATCGAGACCATCCTGGCTAACACGGTGAAACCCCGTCTCTACTAAAAATACAAAAAAATTAGCCAAGCATGGTGGTGGGTGCCTGTAGTCCCAGCTACTTGGGAGGCTGAGGCAGGAGAATGGCGTGAACTCAGGAGGCAGAGCTTGCAGTAAGCCAAGATCGCGCCACTGCACTCCAGCCAGGGTGACAGAGTGAGACTCCATCTGAAAAAAAAAAAAAAAAAAAAAAAAAAGAGAGAAATTTTGGGGACAGTGGAAATTTGAACACTGACTAGATAATTAATGAAAAGGAAATATTGTTAGTTTTTAGGTGTGATAATGGCATTGTGTTATGATTTTTTAAAGATTCCTTCCTTTTTTTAACTTTTTGTCTTGAAATAATTATAGATGCATAGGAAGTTGCTAAAACAGTAAAGTTTCCATGTATCCTTAAGTTTCGCTGAATGTTAGCATTATAAATAACTGTAGTAAATTATTAAATCCAGGAAATTGAAATTGGTACAATCACCAGCCTTATTCAGATGCCATCAGTTTTATATGCATTTGTGTGTATGGGTGTGTATTTAGTTCATGTAATTTTAGCATATGTGTAGATTTGTATGACTACAACCACAATCCAGATAAAGAAGTGTTTCAACACCTCAAGGATCCTTGCTACTGCTCTTTTATTGTATTTGTAGTTATTTAATTATTTATTTAGAGTCAGGATCTCACGCTGTCTCTCAGGCTGGAGTGCAGTGGTGCTATTACGGCTCACTGCAGCCTCAACCTCTGGGCCCAAGAAATCCTTCCATCTCAATCTCCAAAAGTGCTGGGATTATAGGTGTGAGACACCATACTCAGCCCACCCTTTTATAATAACAGCCACCTCCCTTCTTCCCCTCTTTTTAATATTAGGCAATGAAAAACCTACCTTTATGATTTTGTAATTTAAAGTATCTACATATATATTAATTAATACCTTATGTAAGCCTTTTGGATTAAGGTATTCCCTCAGCATAATTCCCTAAAGATTCATTCAAGTTGTATATACAAACAGTTCATTTCTTTGTATTGCTGGGTAGTATTTCATGGTATGGATGCACCACAACTTATTTAATTATTTACCCATTGAATGAAATATGGATTCTTTTGCAGCTTTTGATTTTTATGAATAAAGATGCTTTAAATATTCCCATGTAGGTTTTTGTGTAAATATAAATTTTAATTTATTTGTGAAAAATTGCCAAGAGTGTAGTTGTTGGGTCATATGGAAGTTCCACATTTAGCTTTAAAGGTTACTGTAAAAATGTTTTCAAACAAACTGTGAGTAACATTATACATTCCTACCAGCAATGTATAAATGATCCAGTTTCTCTGCACCCTCACACACATTTGAGATGGTCATTGTATTTTATTTTCGGCATCCTAATAGGAGCATAGTGATAGCTCAATGTGGTTTTAATTTCCATTTCCCCGATGGCTAATGGTTTTGAACATGTTTACACATAATCAATGTGACATATGTATATTCTCTTGGGTGAAATGTATTTATGTCTTTTGCTCATTTGCTGATTGTTTTGTTTTTATTATTAACTTTTTTTTTGTTATACTTTAAGTTCTGGGATACATGTGCAGAATGTGCAGGTTTGTTACATAGATATACACATGCCATGGTGGTTTGCTGCACCCATCAACTCATCATCTACATTAGATATTTCTCCTAATGCTATCCCTCCCCTAGTCCCCCACCCCTAGACAGGCCCTGGTGTGTGATGTTCCCCTCCCTGTGTCCATGTGTTCTCAATGCTCAACTCCCAATTATGAGTGAGAACATTCAGTGTTTGGTTTTCTGTTCCTATGTTAGTTTGCTGAGACTGATGGTTTCCAGCTCCATCCACGTCCCTGCAAAGGACATAAACTCATCCTTTGTTATGGCTGCATAGTATTCCATGTCGTATATGTGCCACATTTTCTTTATCCAGTATATCACTGATGGGCATTTGGGTTGGTTCTAAGTCTTTGCTATTGTGAACAGTGCTGCAATAAACATGTATGTGCATGTGTCTTTAGAGTAGAATGATTTATGATCCTTTGGGTATATACCCAGTAATGGGATGGCTGGGTCAAATGGTATTTCTGGTTCTAGATCCTTGAGGAATCGCCACACTGTCTTCCACAATGGTTGAACTAATTTAGACTCCCAACAACAGTATAAAAGATTTCCTATTTGTCCACATCCTCTCCAGCATCTGTTGTTTCCTGACTTTATAATGATTACCATTCTAACTGGCATGAGATGGTATCTCATTGTGGTTTTGATTTGCATTTCTCTAATGACCAGTAATGATGAGCTTTTTTTCATATGTTTGTTGGCTGCATAAATGTCTTCTTTTGAGAAGTATCTGTTCATATCCTTGGCCCACTTTTTGATGGGGTTGTTTGTTTTTCTCTTGTAAATTTGTTTAAGTTCTTTGTAGATTCTAGATATTAGCCCTTTGTCAGATGAATAGATTGCAAATATTTTCTCCCATTCTGTAGGTTGCCTGTTCATTCTGATGATAGTTTCTTTTGCTGTACAGAAGCTCTTTAGTTTAATTATATCCCATTTGTCAATTTTGGCTTTTGTTGCCATTGCTTTTGGTGTTTTAGTGGTAAAGTCTATGCCCATGCCTATGCCTGTATGGTATAGCATAGGTGTTCTTCTAGGGTTTTTATGGTTTTTGGTCTGACATTTAAGTCTTTATTCCACCTTGAGTTAATTTTTGTATAAGGTGTAAGCAAGGAGTCCAGTTTCAGTTTTCTGCATATGGCTAGCCAGTTTTCCCAACACCATTTATTAAATAGGGAATCCTTTCTCCATTGCTTGTTTTTGTCTGGTTTGTCAAAGATCAGATTGTTGTATATGTGTGGGGTTATTTCTGAGGCCTCTGTTCTATTCCATTGGTCTATATATCTGTTTTGGTACCAGTAGCATGCTGTTTTGGTTACCATAGCTTTGTAGTATAGTTTGAAGTCAGGTAGCATGATGCCTCCAACTTTGTTCATTTTGCTTAGGATTGTCTTGGCTATACAGGCTCTTTTCTGGTTCCATATGAAATTTAAAGTAGTTTTTTTCTAATTCTGTGAAGAAAGTCAATGGTAGCTTGATGAGGATAGCATTGAATCTATAAATTACCTTGGGCACTATGGGCATTTTCACAATATTTATTCTCCCTATGCATGAGCATGGAATGTTTTTCCATTTGTTTGTGTCCTCTCTCATTTCATTGAGCAGTGGTTTTTAGTTCTCCTTCAAGAGGTCCTTCACATCCCTTGTAAATTGTATTCCTAGGTATTTTATTTTCTTTGTAGCAATTGTGAGTGGAAGTTCATTCACGATTTGGCTCTCTGTTTGTCTATGAGTGGTATATAGGAATGTTTGTGATTTTTGCACATTGATTTTGTATCCTGAGACGTTGCTGAAGTTGCTTATCAGCTTAAGGAGAATTTGGGCTGAGACAATGGGGTTTTCTAAATACACAATCATGTCATCTGCAAACAGAGACAATTTGACTTCCTCTCTTCCCATGTGAATACCCTTTCTTTCTTTCTCTTGCCTGATTGCTCTGGCCAGAACTTCCAATAATCTGTTGAATAGGAGTGGTGAGAGAGGGCATCCTTGTCTTGTGCCAGTTTTCAAAGGGAATGCTTTTAGCTTTTGCCCATTCAGTATGATATTGGCTTTGGTTTCATCATAAATAGCTCTTATTATTTTGAGATACATTCCATCAATACCTAGTTTATTGAGAGTTTTTAGCATGAAGGAGTGTTGAATTTTATCCAAGGCCTTTTCTGCATCTATTGAGATAATCGTGTGATTTTTGTCATTGCTTCTGTTTATGTGATGGATTATGTTTGTTGATTGGCATATGTTGAAACAGCCTTGCATCCCAGGGATGAAGCCAACTTGGTTGTGGTGGATAAGCTTTTTGATGTGCTGCTGGATTCAGTCTGCCAGTATTTTATTGAGGATTTTCACATGGATATTCATTAGGGATATTGGCCTGAAATTTTTTTGTGTGTGTCTCTGCCAGGTTTTGGTATCAGGATGATGCTGGCCTCATAAAATTAGTTAGGGAGGATTCCCTCTTTTTCTATTGTTTTGAATAGTTGCAGAAGGAATGGTACCAGCTCCCTTTTGTAGCTTTGGTAGAATTCGGCTGTGAATCCATCCAGTCCTGGGCTTTTCTTGGCTGGTAGACTATTAATTACTGCCTCATTTTCAGAACTTGTTATTGATCTATTGAGGGATTCAACTTCTTCCTGGCTTAGTCTTGGGAGGGTGTATGTGTCCAGGAATTTAGCCATTTCTTCGAGATTTTCTAATTTATTTGCAAGGAGGTTTTTATAGTATTCTCTGATGGTAGTTTGTATTCCTGTGGGATCAGTGGTGATATCCCCTTTATCATATTTTAATCATCATTTTTGTCTATTTGATTCTTCTCTCTTTTCTTATTAATCTGGTTAGCAGTCTATCTATTTTGTTAATCTTTTCAAAAAACCACCTCCTGGATTCATTGATTTTTTCGAAGGGTTTTTCATACCTCTATCTCCTTCAGCATACCCCAGTGGCACCTGGAATGCCAGCAATACAGAACCATTCGCTACCCTGGAAAGGGGGCTGAAGCCAAGGACCCCAGTGGTCTAGCTCAGCGGATCCCACTCCCATGGAGCCCAGCAAGCTAAGATCCACTGGCTTGAAATTCTTGCTGCCAGCACAGCAGTCTGAAGTCGACCTGGGACACTTGAGCTTGGTGGGTGGAGGGGCATTCATCATTACTGAGGCTTGAGTAGTCAGTTTTCCCTTCACAGTGTAAACCAAGCTGCCAGGAAGTTTGAATTGGGCAGAGCCCACCACAGCTCGCAAAGCCTCTGTAGCCAGACTGCCTCTCTAGATTCCTCCTCTCTGGGCAGGGCATCTCTGAAAGAAAGGCAGGATCCCAGTCAGGGGCTTATAGATAAAACTTCCATCTCCATGAGAGAGAGCACCTGGGGGAGGCACGGCTGTGGGTGCAGCTTCAGCAGACTTAAATCTTCCTGCCTGCTGGCTCTTTAGAGAGCAGCAGGTCTCCCAGCACCGTGCTCGATCTCTGCTAAGGGATAGACTGCCTCCTCAAGTGGGTCCCTGACCCCCATGCCTCCTAACTGGGAGACACCTCCCAGCAGGGTTCTACAGACATCTCATACAGGAGAGCTCCAGCTAGCATCTAGTGGGTACCTCTCTGGGATGAAGCTTCCAGGGGAAGGAACAGGAAGCAATCTTTGCTGTTCTGCAGCCTCCCCTGGTGATACCCAGGAAAATAGCGTCTGGAGTGGACCTCCAAAAAACTGCAGCAGACCTGCAGCAGAGAGGCCTGACTGTTAGAAGGAAAACTAACAAACAGAAAGGAATAGCATCAACATCAACAAAAGAGACGTCCACACAGAAACCCCATCCGAAGGTCACCAACATCAAAGACCAAAGGTAGATATATCCAGGAAGATGAGGAAAAACCAGTGCAAAGAGGCTGAAAATTCTCCAGACCAGAACACCTCTTCTCTTCCAAAGGATCACAGCTCCTTGTTAGCAAGGGAACAAAACTGGATGGAGAATGAGTTTGATGAATTGACAGAAGTAGGCTTCAGAAGGTGGGTAATAACAAACTCCTCTGAGCTAAAGAGCATGTTCTAACCCAATGCAAGGAAGCTAAGAACCTTGAGAAAAGTTAGAGGAATTGCTAACTAGAATAACCAGTTTAGAGAAGAACATAAATGACCTGATGGAGCTGAAAAAAACAGCATGAGAACTTTGTGAAGCATACACAAATATCAATAGCTGAATCAATCAAGCAGAAGAAAGGATATCACAGATAGAAGATCAACTTAATGAAATAAAGCATGAAGACAAGATTAGAGAAAAAAGAATGAAAGGGAACAAACAAAGCCTCCAAGAAATATGGGACTATGTAAAAAGACCAAACCTACATTTGATTGGTGTACCAGAAAGTGATGGGGAGAATGGAACCAAGTTGAAAACACTCTTCAGGATATTATCCAGGAGAACTTCCCCAACCTAGCAAGACAAGCCAACATTCAAATTCAGGAAATACAGAGAACACCACAAAGATACTCCTCGAGAAGAACAACCCCAAGACACATAAGAGTCAGATTCACCAAGGTTGAAATGAAGGAAAAAAATGTTAGGGGCAGCCAGAGGGAAAGGCCAGGTTACCCACAAAGGGAAGCCCATCAGATTAACAGTGGAGCTCTCTACAGAAACCCTACTAGCCAGAAGAGAGTGGGGGCCAATATACAACATTCTTAAAGAAAAGAATTTTCAACCCAGAATTTCATGTCCAGCCAAAGTAAGTTTCATAAGTGATAGAGAAATAAAATCCTTTATAGACAAGCAAATGCTGAGAGATTTTTGTCACCACTAGGCCTACTTTACAGGAGCTCCTGAAGGAAGCACTAAATATGGAAAGGAAAAACCAATACCAGCCACTGCAAAAACATACCAAATTGTAAAGGCCATTGACACTGTGAAGAAACTGCATCAACTAACGGACAAAATAACCAGCTAGCATCATAATGATAGGATCAAATTCATACTTAACAGTATTATCCTTAAATGTAAACAGGCTAAATGCCCCAATTAAAAGACACAGACTGGCAAACTGGAGAAAGGGTCAAGACCATTCAGTGTGCTGTGTTCAGGAGACCCATCTCACGTGCAAAGACACACATAGGCTCAAAATAAAGGGATGGAGGAATATTTACCAAGCAAATGGAAAGAAAAAAAAATACAGGGTTTGCGATCCTAGTCTCTGATAAAACAGACTTTAAAACAGCAAAGATCAAAAAAAGACAAAGAAAGCCCTCACATAATGATAAAGGGATCAATGCAACAAGAAGGGCTAACTATCCTAAATATATATGATATGTATGCACCCAATGCAGGAACACCCAGATTCATAAAGCAAGTTCTTAGAGACCTACAAAGAGACTTAGACTCCCACACAATAATAGTGGGAGACTTTAACACCCCACTGTCAATATTAGACAGATCAACAAGACAGAAAATTAACAAGGATATTCAGGACTTGAACTCAGCTCTGGACCAAGTGGACCTAATAGTCATCTACATACCACTCCACCCCAAATAAACAGAATATACATTCTTCTCAGCACCACACTGCACTTATTCTAAAATTGACCACATAATTGGAAGTAAAACACTCCTCAGCAAATGCAAAATAATGGAAATCATAACAAACAGTCTCTCAGACCATAGTGTAGTCAAATTAGAACTCAGGATTAAGAAACTCACTCAAGGCCAAGTGTGGTGGCTCATGCCTCTAACCCCAGCACTTTGGGAGGCCGAGGTGGTCAGATCACGAGGTCAGGAGATCGAAACAATCCTGGCTAACACAGTGAAACCCCATCTCTACTAAAAATACAAAAAATTAACTGGGCATGGTGGCGGGCGCCTGTAGTCCCAGCTACTCGGGAGGCTGAGGCAGGAAAATGGTGTGAACCCAGGAGGCAGAGCTTGCAGTGAGCTGAGATCATGCCACTGCCCTCCAGCCTGGGAGACAGTGAGACTCCGTCTCAAAACTGCACAACTACATGGAAACTGAACAACCTGTTCCTGAATGACTACTGGGTAAATAACGAAATGAAGGCAGAAATAAATAAGTTCTTTGAAACCAATGAGAACAAAGAGACAATGTACCAGAATCTCTGGGACACAGCTAAAGCAGTGTTTAGAGGAAAATTTATACACTAAATGCCCACTGGAGAAAGCAAGAAAGATCTAAAATTGCCACCCTAACATTACTATTATTAAGTTTTGAGAGTTCTCCATATATTTTAGATACAAGTTCCTTGTCAGATATATGTTGTACAAATATTTTCTTCCAGTCTATCAGCTTTTTTAATTCTGTTGTTCAATTGTCAGGATCTTTTTCAGAAGTTCAATTTATTTCATTTTTCTTTGTGCTTTATTAATTTGTTTTAATAGAATTCAGAACACACTACCCCAAAATATGGCACCTTTGGCATTTGAGAAAACAGCAGAAGCAAGAAGACCACTCTTACCTTCTCTTAACCCTTTCCTCTGAATTAGGTCATAAAACCTAGGAAAGTAACTCTGACCTTCTGCCACCCATCTTCCCTGAAGCAGATCATAAGAACCTCATTAGAAAACTGTCCTCCCTGTATGTGGAGGAAAGGAACATCTTTATCTCTAAAGATCCTGAGAAGAATAACAAAGAAGCCTTGTTAAATACCCCCACCCAAGTTTGTTACTAGTAGATCACATCCTTTTTCACTCCAATCGTATTTTTCTAGAACTGTCCACTCTTCATGAAACCTAAGCAGAAAAATACAAAAATTTACCTGTTTCACTGAATCATCATTATGTTTTCTCTGATTAACCTGTCTTTTGCTATAGAGGCCTCAGCCATGAACCAATCAATAAGCAAAATAAAGATATCTTTCCTTCCCTATCGGTGTTATGGCTAAGAACTCTGAGTAACCATGAGTTTCAAAGCTTTCTACTTGTGATTTTTTGAAAAAAATTATAGCTTTACATTTAGGTTTATGATTCATTTTGAGATAATCTTTGTACAGTATGTGAGGCTCAAGTCAATGATCGTTTATTTTCTTTGCATATGAATGTCTTTCAACATTATTGTTGAAAAGACCATCTTTGCTCCACTGAAAAACTTTTTATGCCTTTCTCAGATATCAGTTGACACAGTTGGTGAGTCTGTTATTAGATTCACTATTTTATTGCCTTTATCTAAGTGTCTATGACTCCACTGATATCACATTGTCTGGATTATTGTCACTATGTTTGTATCTTAATAATAGGTAGAGTGATTGCTTCCACTTTCTTCTACATTTAAAAATAATTATTCCATTTATTTTGTTGCTTGATTTTTTCACTTAAATTTTAAAATCAGCTTGTCTATAATTGTCTATTTATATACAAAACATCTTGCCTGACTTTTATTCACAATTGTGTTAAATCTATTGATTTATTTGTGGAGAATTAACACCTTTACTATGTTAAGTCATCCAATCTATGAACGTGGTATGTCTTTCCATTTGTTTAGCATTTCCTTTATTTATTGTATTAGCATTTTTCAATGTTCATTATGCAGATACTGTAGACATTTTATTAGATTTATACCTAAGGATTTAATTTCAGGGGAATAATTACAACTGTCACATTTTTAACTCCACTTTCCATGTTTTCAATTGATAGTATTTAAAAATATGACTGATTTTGTCTTGTGTCCTTCAATATTTTTGGACACACTTATTAATGTTAGTAGGACATATGTTTAAAGAACTCTTTAGAATATTCTAAATAAATAGCCACATAATCTTTAAATAGGAATACTTTTATTTCTTCCTATATAATCTTCATGATTTTTCTTTTCTTTTCTTGCCTTATTGTTCAGGCTAAACCTTCAGTACTGTTTCATATGAGTGGCAATAGCAGACATCCTTGCTTGCTTTTAGTGTAAGAAAAGATAGTTTTTCACCATTAAATATGCTGCTAACTGCAGGTTTTTTTTAGCCTGTTGATATCATTTATTATACTGATTGATTACTGAATTTTAAACCGACCTTGCAATTCTCAATCTCCACTTTATTGTGATGTATATTTTCTTTTTCTATAACGCTGGATCCTACATGCTCATCTTATGTTGAAGATTTTTTTTGTCAAAGTTTATGAGAGATATAGGTATGTAGGTTTGTCTCTTTAAAAATATGTCTGATTTTTCTATCAGGGCATACTGGCCTCATAAAATGAGTTAGAAATGTTTCCTTATTTTTTAATGTCCTGGAACAGATCAGGCAGAATTCATGTTAGTTCTTATTTAAATTTTAGTAGAATTTTCCAGTAAATTCTTCTAGGACTCAGAATATATGCATGTTAGATCATTTGCTACTGTCATATAGATCCCCGAGGCTCTATTTTCCCCCCAGTCTAGTTCCTCTCTGTTATTTAGATAAGGTAAATTATATTGATTATGTCAATTATATTGTCTGAAAATTCACTGATTTTTTTTTTTGGGACAGAATATTTTTTTTTCTCAGCCTGTTGAGTAAGACTCTGTCTTACTTTGTTGCCCAAGCTGGAGTGCAGTGGTACAATCACCACTTACAGTAGCCTCGACTTCCCAGGTTCAAGTAATTCTATCTCAGCCTTTTAGGTAGCTGGGACTATAGGTGCATGTCACAATGCCTGGCTAATTTTTTGCATTGTTTGTGGAGATAGGGTTTTGCCATCTTGCCCAGGCTGGTCTCAAACCCTGGGCTCAAATAATCCACCTGCCTTGGCCTCCCAAAGTATTGGGATTACAGGTGTGAGACAACATACCCCGTCCAAATTTATTGATTCTATCTTCTGTTATCTCCACTCTACTATTGAGCCAATCCAGTAAGTTGTTGCTTTTGATATTATTGCATTTTTTTCTTCTATATTTTCCACTTGATTATTTTTATAATTATAACTTCATTTCTTTTTTGAATTGTTAAAATATTTTCATTTGCTTTAAGTGAATTTGATATTGCTTGTTGAAGCATGTTTTGATGGTTGCATTAAAATCCTTTTCAGATAATTTCACCATCTGAGTCATAACAAGCTTGATATGTGTTTTAGTCAGGGTTTTCCAGAGAGACACAGCCCACTGAACATATATACAGTTGTCCATCACTATCTGCAGGGCATTGGTTCTAAAATCCAAAGATACCCACGTCCCTTATATTAAATAGCATAGAACAGTAAGCACTCTGTGTCTGTAGGTGTAGAACCTAAGGATATGTAGGTCCTATTGTCAAGAGATGTACATGAGAAGGAATTTATTAGAGGAATTGGCTCACTTGTTTATGAAGGCTGAGAATTCCCACAATAAGCCATCTGCAAGCTGGAGAACCAAAGAATCTTTAGTGTGGTTCAGTTCAAGTCCAAAGACCTTAGAACCAAGGAAGCTGATGTTGCAGCTCTCCGAGGCTGATAGTTTGGGAGGTGGCTGGTACAAATCCCAGAGTCCAAAAGCTGGAGAACCTGAAGTTCTGATATCCAAGAGCATGAGAAGAAAAACACCCAAGCTCAGGAAGAAAGTTCCAATTTACCTCTTTGTTACTTCTGGGACTCAGCTGATTGGATGATGCCCACCCACATTGTGGGCAATTCTTCCCACTCAGTCCACCCAATCAATGTCCAATCTCCAGCAGAAATACTCTCATGAACCCAACTGGGACAGCACAACCACTCTAACTAAATGCCAAACCACCTGGATTCTCTTTCAACAGAAATGGGATGGGCTCAATGCCTACTGAAGCATTGAGAATAAGTGATGTTTTGTTAGCTAGTGAATATCCCTTAATCCAGCCAAGTTGACACCCAAAATAAATCATCACAAGTTCATCCCTTGTCAACTTGGCACCATATGCCTCTCCTTAAACCATACTTAATCTTGAAATAAAGGCAATAGCAAGGTGGTAGTTTCACCTAGCATGATGAAAATATATTGAATACAACAAAAATGCATTAATATATTCCCCAGAAGAGGAGATAAAGTCCTTGAGTGATGATTATTCTTCTCCAGATATTCTGTAACTTAAATACCATGACATAAAATTAGAAATATTTAAATATTGATAGAACTCTACATGTATCTATCAAGGATATTTTCTTAATATATGTATATATACAAACATACATATTCCTAACAAAATAGGAAGAAAATACAGCCCTTGTTTCTATAAGTGGTCATATGGTCATTGCTGATATTTATAACTACCTTCTAATATCCATTATGTATTCTGTTTGTTTTCAGCAAACACCTTAGCTAATCATGATTCTTTACCTTCTGGTGAACTGATCCAAACCTTTACTTATTTTCTTCCTTTTTTCCTCTCTCCTTCCCTCCCTCCCTCTTTCTTCCTTTCTTTCTTCCTTTCTTTCTTTCTTTCTTTCTTTCTTTCTTTCTTTCTTTCTTTCTTTCTTTCCTTCCTTCCTTCCTTCCTTCCTTCCTTCCTTCCTTCTTTCCTTCTTTCCTTCATTTCTTCTTTCTTTCTCTTTACCTTCTGGGAAACTGATCCAAACCTTTACTTACTTTCTATTTTTCTCTATTTTTCTTTCTCTATTTTTTTCTCTCCTTCCTTCCTTCCTTCCTTCCTTCCTTCCTTCCTTCCTTCCTTCCTTCCTTCCTTCTCTTTACCTTCTGGCGAAGTAACCCAAACGTTTACTTTCTTTCTCTTTTTCTCTTTTTTTCTTTATTTTTCTTTCTCTGTTCTTTTTCTCTCCTTCCTTCCTTCCTTCCTTCCTTCCTTCCTTCCTTCCTTCCTTCCTTCTTTCCCTCCTTCTTTCTCTTTACCTTCTGGTGAACTGACTCGAACCTTTACTTACTTTCTTTCTATTTTTCTCTATTTTTTCTCTTTCTTCCTGTCCTTTCCTTTCTTTTCCTTTCCTTTCCTTTCCTTTCCTTTCCTTTCCTTTCCTTTCCTTTCCTTTCCTCTCTTTCTCTTTCTCTCTTTCTCTTCCTTCCCTTCCCTTCCCTTTCCTCTCTTTCTTTCTTTCTTTCTTTCTTTCTTTCTTTCTTTCTTTCTTTCTTTCTTTTTCTTTCTTTCTTTTTCTTTCTTTCTACAGGGTCTCACTCTGTCACCCAAGCTAGAGTGCAGTGCTGAGATCATAGCTCACTGCAGCATTAAACTCTGGGCTCAAGCAGTCCTACTGCCTCAGTCTCTTGAGTAGCTGGGACTACAGACACGCAGAACCATGCCTGGTTAATTTTTTTTTTTCATTTTTATTTTTGTAGAAATGGGGTATTGCTAGGTTACCCAGGCTAGTCTGAAATTCCTGACCTCAAACGATCTTTGTGCCTTGGCTTTCCAATGTGCTGGGATTACAGACATGAGCCACCAAGCTCAGCTCAAACCTTTATTTCTGAAGGGTCGGAGCCATTCGTAGTCCTGCTTGAATTGGGTTGTTGTAATTTCCCATTGACCTTAATCACAGGACATACTAATACTAAGAGGTGCCCTAAGGGATCTACTGTTTTCCAAACATACTCTCCCTCACTTCTCTTCTGGAGTAGTAGTCCAATCTTATTCTTGGTAGTTTGAATTAATCACTACAGCCAACACCATTACTCCCCTGTAAGCCTGTTGATTTAGATGCATGAGGAGCCCAAAGTGGCCAGGTGGCAGTTTTAACTTCCAGTTTGGTAGAATTACTGTTGTCTCCCATGGTGGAGGCATTCCTTCCTCTGAAACAAAGACCTCTGTGCTAGCAGAGCATAAAGTCACAGAAATAATACAAAATTTTTTTTTTCTAGTGGGTTACTAGGATGAATGATGGTGGTGCCATTCTATTTCCACTCCTTGATTCCTGGACCTGTGAATTCTGGCAATTGGGGGAAACAGTACCATATAGTGAACTTTTATTCAGAACATGTAAAGCCTTCTAGAAGACCTTGCCCAGTCCTGCAAAATATTGCCACCTATCTGGTGCTGTAACTGTGCCTTCAAAAGGCCATTTTATAGTCTTATCAAGACAACTGCTTCAGGATGATGGGGAGCATGGTAAATCCAGTGCATTTTATGAATATAAGTCAATTACCACACTTCTTTGTGAAGTGAATTACTTTTAAGAAGCAATGCTGTGTGGAATACTATAATGATGGATAAGGCATTCTGTAAGTCCACAAGTGGTAGTTTTGTCAAAGCATTGAATGAGGGAAGGTAAATTTATATCCAAATTAAGTGTCTATTCCAGTAAGGACAAAACGTTGTCTCTTCCATGATGAAAGTTGTCCAATGTAATCAACCTGCCACCAGGTAGCTGGCTTAATACTCTGGGCAATGGTGCTACACTGGGGGCTCAGTGTTGGTCTCTGCTGCAGATAGATTGGACACTAGGTGATGACCATAGCCAGGTCAGCCCTGATGATTTTAACTCTATATTGTTGGGCCCAGGCATAACCTCCATCTCAGCTAACATGCTGACTTTGTTCATAAGCCCATTGGACAATGGCAGTTGGTTAAAGAAAAAGGCTGATTGGATTTCACAGAATAGGTCATTCTATCAATTTGATTATTCAATTCTTCCTCTGCTGAGGTCACCTTTTGGTGAGCATTTACATGGGACACAATTACCTTTAAGTTCTTTGCCCACTCGGAAAGGTCTACCTTTTCCCAAAATTTCTTTGTCACCAATTTTCCATTCGTATTTCTTCCAAGTCCCTGATCATTCAACCAGACTATCTGAGTTCCCCTTTCAGCAGAAGATGGATGTGCTCACTGCCTCCTGAAGCATTTAGAATAACTAATGCTTTGCCAGATATTTGGGGAATCTTTAATTCAGTCAACTTAACACCGAAAATCAACTACCATTGTATTTGTTGATTCGTTTCTCATTCAAGTTATGAATGCTCTGGTTCTAAGTAAAATAAATGTTTTTTAATTGTAGTATGGACATTTGAGATCTTATATTAGGGGATTCTGGATCTTATTTAAATGTCCTATTTTGGCAGGCAATTATCCTGTTCAAGTTTAGACCAAAGGTCTTCTCTCACTTTTGTAAGCTGTTATTCCAAAGGCACTTTCTTTTTCAGAGCCCTTGAGTTAATATTTAAATCTGCTTCATAAACGTGCTACTCAAAGTCCATGGAAATTATGGATGGAATCTTACATTGTAGTTTGGTTTTCAACCTTTTGGTGTGTTAAATCTAGTCAGTTTCACTTTTTTTTTTTTTTAAATGTTTGTCCAGAACTTCCGATGCTGGTTGTTTGATAATAATGTCTGGTATTTGCTTCAAAATAAAAGGGTGGCCATTATATGAGAAATAAAATTGACCAGGAACTGATAATTGTTGAGGATGAAGAATAAATATGTTGATGTCTATAAGAGTATCCCAATTTTGTATATGTTTGACCTTTCCATATGAAAATGTTAAAAAGGTAATTATATTGAAATTGTCTTAATAGTTAAATAGTCTATTTGTTTAAATTACAGAATAATACAGGGTTACATATTAAGAATGTTTAATTATTGATTCTCCTAAAATTAGTTTTCTAGAATTAAAATTTCCTTTGGATAACAAAATAACAATTAACTTCTATCATCTTACAAAATACAATTGTTTAACATCTTCATAGATATTTCTTAACATTTACGTAGAAACTTGAACTAGAAAATATATGAATTTGAATAAACAACTTATAATAAAGAATTTGAGCATATAATACTATCTTATATACAGTAGATTATCATTTATTTCAAATATTTGCTAGGATTACTTTTCCAAATATCATCCACATATAGATAAAATGTACTTTTCACCAGTAATAAATAAGGCACACCTATTTGTTCTGTCACATTAAGGAATTAATATGTTCTCATTAATAATGTAATAACAAAATTCGTGATATTTGCATATGGTAGACTGATAGCAAAAATTTCCCATACATTCCTCTATCCATGTCTTTTGAAATTTGACTTTGCAGTTTTCCCTGTCAAGGGATATAGTCTATCTCCCCGAGCCTTGCATATCAACTGGCCTTGTGACTTATTTGCAGAACAGAATGCAATAGAAGGAACTTGGGTAAATTCTAAACCTAGGACTCAACAGTCGTTCCCTGTTTCCTCTATCTTGAAACTCTGCCACCCTGAGGACAAGCCCAGGCTAGCCTGCTGGAGGGTGATTGATTATATAAAGGAAACTCAGTATAGCAGAGCCGACATCCTGAAGACTTCTGTGGGAGCAGATGCCTAGCTGAAACACAGCTGACAAGAGAGTCATGAAAAAGTCAAAAGGATCACCTGCTAAGTCCATTTTAAAATCATGATCTACAGAAAGGTGAGTTAAATAAATTGTTAATTTTGGCTATTGAGTGTAGAAGTAGTTGTTGTGCAATGATGTTTAACTGATGAAATATCCAAAAATTATAAAGGCTTAAGAATTTCTCTAAAATTTACTTCTTATATTTGATTACTCAAAGCCATGAATGTTAATAAAATCTTTAATACTAATACAAGTAATTGTTTATATTTTTCAAACTTAACCATATTTTGGTGAGCTTCTACAAAATAAAATATATATAAAATTACTACCAAAATGAAAGAAAAAGAGGTACGAAAAGAGAAAAAAATTATTAATTTCTTTTGACTACTCAAGTAAATTACCATACACTTAGCAGCTTAAAACCATACAGTCTCACCAGCCTAACATCAAGATACTAGCAAGGCTGTGTACCTTGCCAGCTGCCAGCCAGGGGTTGTTCTCAACTTATACAGTCCACCCACATTCCTTGAATAATGGACCCCTTCATCTTCAAAGTCTGCAGTGGTGTATAGAATTCTTCTTATGCTTCATCTCTCCTGACTTCCTGTATTAACTCTCACTCCTCAACCAGAAGGGTTTTCCATTTTTAAGGACCCTTGTGATTACATTAGCCCACTGAAATATTCTAATATCCCATCTCAAACTTCTTAACTTAATCACTTTGCGAGATCATGTTTTGCTATGTAAGGTAACATATTCACACATTTCAGGACTACAAGAATGTGTAGTACACTTTCAAGAACATCTTGAGGGCAGGCATTATTTTGCTTACCACAGAACCTAAATTAATATTTATTAAGCATCAACTTTGTACAGGGCATTGTGCCACATGTGTTCATCCATTATCTCTTATACATTTTACAACAAACTTGCGAAGTACATATTATTATCTGTACTTTTAAAGAGGATGAAAATTAGATCTATTAAAGTAAGCAACTTGTCTAAGTTCACAAAGTTACTATCAAGTCATGGTTTGGATTAGTTGTTTCTGTGAATTTGAAGCTATACAGCACGCTTTCAAAAAAGCAAAAGGAACAAATATTGATTATTAGATAAAATGAACAAAAGGTAGAGAAAACGAGAGTCAAAAATAAAGGAGAGAGTAAATAGAGAAGAAAACAAAGTGGATAAATCTGTTTGGGTATTTATATAGTCCGAAAGCAGGATAGTTCTGATAGGTGAGAGGTGGAAAAGCCTGATTAGTGTAGATGAATCCCCTTGAGAGCAATATTCATGCACAATAATTTCTTCACTGCAGTGATTTTTGTTTATTTTATTGCAAATATATTTTTTCTTACTATTTTTATTCTTCAATGCAAGCCTCTAATTTTGAAAGAAGTGCTTTTCTTCAGCAACGAAGGTAGTAGAGGAGTGATTTCCTTACTTTTTCAACAAATTTTATAAGGTTACACTGTCGTGAAGCACAAGTTAATAAAGCCTAAGGACACACTGTTGCATTTCTTTTAAAATAATGGAAAATTATTAAATTTTTTAAGGCATGTTTTGTTTGAATGTCTTGTGTTGGTTAGATAACTGTACATCACTAAAGTAGAACAGTACTTTTAAGAAGCAATTTCTGTTTAGGAGTAGAAGTTGAAAGCGGTATATTAATCTGATGAGCTTAAGCAGCAAAATAGACCTCATACATAAGAATATGAGCTGATTTACTGTAAGGGACATGACTAATCCAGGGTCCATCTGTAGGGCTTCCACTGGTGCTGAATACACTAGTCAGGCCTTCATTGCTGCTTTCCCCAGTGCTTGGACCCTTGAGGGCTTCCCAGGCATCTGACATTGTGATTGGAAAATAATCTTCATTTGATTGAATTTTCCTTCCCTTTTGGTCAACTGTGCTAACACCACAGCAGCCTCCATGAGAGAGACAAATTAGCCAGTCACATTAACATATGCCAGCATAATTGGGATGCCAAAAGCAATACTAACTGCAGTAATAACTGAGGATGCAATCACTGACAAAGTCATTCCTCCTGTGATAGCCAAATTTCTCTTGTGTTGGAGGTTTGCTTTCCTTTATCCATGCAGTGAATCTTCCTGTCAACATAAACAGGAATGCTGATGACCATTTCAGGAATAGCAGTGGTAGCAATGAAAGATATCCCCACTGGAGCTCCAATTAATGCACACAGCTGCCAAGTAATTTTCTTACAGCTTCTTGCCCCAGAATCTGAAGCCAGAAGGTTTTTGAAAATATGGCAGAAATCTTTATTAAAATGTTTCCTTCAGTAATATGTTACCACGTACATAATATACACACATACCTATGTACATTCTTTGACATACCTCAAAGATTGCTACCATTAGTTTAACCAATAAATTAAAACTAAAAAAAAAAATAGGAAGGGGAGAAAGGAGAGGGAATCAGGGCAAAATTTTGATGTTTTATCTAGTAAGAAATTGCAAATATCTCAGAATTTCTCTGAGGGAAACCTATAAGCAGAGAATCTTTAAGATAAAATACATAAATTTTCACTCATCTCACCAAAAAAAAAAAAAAAGATTTGAAAGATGCCGTCACAACAATTGTGCTTCTCAGAACATTTATTCAATTTCAAATTCTGGCTTCGGCACCTTTTGTCTTTAAGACAGACTGCCCCTCGGCTGGGACAGAGAAGTTCATATGGACACCTGGGCCCAGTGCACCCTTGGGCTCTAGAGGTCAAGGGGGAAATCTGCAATATGATAGTGAGGGAAGTCATAGTCATCTGAAGTGATGTCTAGCACATCATCTCACTGCATATCATCACTCTCCAAACCACTGTGGATCATCTTGGGTTAGGCCAAGCTGATGTATGAAAGTTTGACGACCAGATAGTCTTTCTGTTCACAGCTTTGGTGTTTGTAGAAAAGTCCTCTTCACTGCCTCCATCTCCACCACTACTGCTATATTCTTCATTCTCTGTCATCTGAGCATGAATGTGGAATGAATCCTTTACGCTTCTTTCACTCACCAGCTGACAGTAGCTTGGTTTGGCATCACTCAGATTTCCATATTGTTGCATTCCATGTCCTGATTATGAAAACAGTCATAGCAAAAGTGCTTGGGCTGTCATTGATTCCATCAAGGTTGATTGTGTCTTTGAAGACAATTTCATTTTGGATATTGACTTGGACTTCTATCCTGCTGCATTTTCCCTAGATACTGTAAAGAATCTCACCATTTAGTATGCTCCATGGGAGAGTTGTGAAGATGGTTGTATAATAAAAAATAATGATATTATGTAATGATAAAGGAATCAACTCATCAAAAGAATATAACAATTGTAAATATATATGCACTCCAACTTTGGAACACCTAAATATATAAAGTAAATATTAATAAACATGAAGAGAGAGATAGACTATAGTATAGTAATAACAGGGAATATCAATACCCCATTTTCAACAAGGAACAGATCACAGACAGAAATCAATAAGGAAACAATGGACTTGAACTATACTTTAGGTCAAATGGACCTAAAAGGCATATACAAAACCTTCTATCTGATAGCAGCAGAATATATATTTTTCTAAAGCACACATGGAACATTCTTCAGGATAGGTCATATGTGAGGGCTCAAAACAAGTCTTCATAAGTTTAAGAAGATTGAAATTATATCAAGTATATTTTCCCATGACAATTGTATAAAACTAGAAATCAATAATAGGAGAAATATCAGAAATTCCCAAATAAGTGGAAATTAAACTACATTCCTCTAAGTAACCAATGAATCTAAAAACAAATTAAAAGGGAAACTAAATAATATATTCAGACAAGTGGAAATGGAAACACAACGTACCAAAATATACAGGACTCAGCCAAAGCAGTTCTAAGAAGGAAGTTTATAACAATAAATGCCTACTTCAAAGAAAAAAAAAAGATCCCAAATAAACCACCTTACGTTAGACATCAAGAAACTAGAAAAAGAAGACACAACCAAGTGCAAATTTAGTTAAAGGAAGAAAATAATATAGCTCAGAACAGAAATGAATGACATACAGACTAGAGCCTTAATAGGAAAAATCAATAAAACTGAGTTGGGTTATGAAAAGATAAAACTGACAAACATTTAAACGGATTAACTAGGAAAAAAGGAAAAAGAATATAAATAAATTTAGAAATGAAATAGATGACATTACAACGGATATGCCACAGAAATAAAAAGGAGCATAAGATACTATGAATAATTATACACCAACAAATATGATAATCTAGAAGACATAAATAAGTAACTATAAACATAAAACTTACCAAGGGTAAATCATGAAGAAATAGAAAATCTGAACAGATCAGGAATGAGTAAGGAGATGAATTAGTAATAAAAATTTTCCTATCAAACAAAAGTACAGGATTAGATGTATTTACTGGTAAATACTCCCAAACATTTAAATAAGACTTATTGCCAATCATTCTCAAACTTTTCCAAAAAAAAATGAAAAGTAGGACACACTTCCAAACTTATTTTATGAGGCCAGAATTACTGTATAACAAAAGTCAGACAAGAAAAGAACAATAAGAAATTAAGAAGAGAAACTAAAAGAAAAGAAAATTACAAGCCAGTAATTCAGATGCAATAATTCTCAATTAAACACTGAAGAACTAAATTCAACAGCACATTAAAAGGATAATACATCACACTGAAGTGGGATTTATTCCTGAAATACAAGGATGTTTCAACAAAAACAAATCCATAAATGTGATGTACCACATTAACAGAATGAAGGACAAAAAACATAATCATTTCAATAGATGCAGAAAAAAAAATCAGAGAAAATTCAACATCCCTTCATGATAAAAACCCTTAATGATTTAGGTGCAGAAGGAATATACATCAATAAGGGACATATATGAAAAGCACCCAAGCTCACATCAGACTCAATGGTGAAAAATTGCAAGTTTTCTAAGATCAGGAAAAAGACAAGGATTCCCCCTCTTGTGATAAGTATTCAACATTGTGCTGGTAGTCTTAGAATAATCAAGAGAGAAATAAATGAAATTCAAATTGGAAAAGAAGATGTTATGATCTTATATCTAGAAAACCCTAGCCACTCACCAAAAAGCTGTTAGATGTAATAAACAAATTCAGCAAAGTTGCAGGAAACAAAATCACCATACAGAAATCAGTAACATTTATTCCCTGAAAACAAACTATACGAAAAAAAGTCAAGAAAGCAATTCTATTTACACAAGCAAAATGTAATAAAATAAAATATGTAAAAATAAATTTAACAAATAAAGTGAAAGTGCTAAACACTGAAAACTATAAAACATTGATGAAAGAAATTAAAGAAGACACAAATGAATGGAAATATATAGGATGTTCACAGATTAGAAGAACTGATATTTGGGGCTTTGCTCCAGATTAGGCTTTGGCTTAAGTGAATGTTATGCCTAGTTTGATCTTCTGTCAGACCAATCAAACTTTCTCCATATAAGCAATAAGGCTGTTTTGCTTCCTTATCATTTGTATGTTCACTGGAGTAGCACTTTTAATTTCCCTCAATAACTTTTCCTTTGCATTCTCAACTTGGCTGACTGTTTGGCTTAAGAGACCCAGCTTTTGACATCCTTAGCTTTTGATTTAAAGTGAGATATGTGCAAATCTTCCTTTAACTTGAACACTGAGTCATCATTGTAGGGTTATTAATTGGACTAATTTCAATATTGTGGTGTCTCAGGGATTGGGGAGGCCTTAGGAGAGGAAGAAACACAGGGTAACAGCCAGTAAGTGGAGCAGTCAAAACACACATTTATAGATTAAGTTTGCCATCCTATATGAGTGTGGTTTGTGGTGCCCCAAAACAGTTACAATAGTAACACCAAAGATCACTGATCACAGATCACCATAACAGATAGAGTAATAATTTAGAAGTTTGAAATACTGTGATAATGTACAAAATGTGATAGATAAAAAGTGAGATCATACTGTTGGAAAAATGGTGCCAACAGACTTACTCAACACAGGGTTGCAACAAACCTTTATTTTCTAAAAAGCAGAGTATCTGAAAAGTTCAATAAAATAAAGCACAATAAAATGAGATATGTTTGTATTCAAAGAAATAATGCCTAAAAATTCTCAAATTTGGTGAAAGAGATAAACCTACTGTGGGGAAAGGAAAGAGAGATCAGGCTGCTTCTGTGTCTATGTAGAAAGAAGTAGACATAAGAGACTCCATTTCGTTCTGTACGAAGAAAAATTCTTCTGCCTTGAGATGCTGTTAATCTGTAACCCTACCCCCAACCCTGTGCTCGCAGAGACATGTGCTGTATTGACTCAAGGTTTGGTGGATTTAGGGCTATGCAGGATGTGCTTTGTTAAACAAGTGCTTGAAGTCAGCATGCTTGTTAAAAGTCATCATCACTCTCTAATCTCAAGTACCCAGGGACACAATACCCTGCAGAAGGCTGCAGGGACCTCTGCCTAGGAAAGCCAGGTATTGTCCAAGGTTTCTCCCCATGTGATAGTCTGAGATATGGCCTCCTGGGAAGGGAAAGGCCTGACCATCCCCCAGCCCGACACCCGTAAAGGGTCTGTGCTGAGGAGGATTAGTAAAAGAGGAAGGGCTCTTTGCAGTTGAGATAAGAGGAAGGCATCTCTGTCTCCTGCTCATCCCTGGGCAATGGAATGTCTCGGTGTAAAAGCCGATTGTATGTTCCATCTACTGAGATAGGAGAAAACCGCCTTAACGCTGGAGGTGAGACATGCTGGCGGTAATACTGCTCTTTAATGCATCGAGATGTTTATGTATGTGCACATCAAAGCACAGCACCTTTTTCTTAAGACATTTGTTCACATGTTTTCCTGCTGACCCTCTCCCCATTATTACCCTATTGTCCTGCCACATCCCCCTCTCCGAGATGGTAGAGATAATGATCAATAAATACTGAGGGAACTCAGAGACCCGGTGTAAGCGTGGGTCCTCCGTATGCTGAGCGCGGGTCCCCTTGGCCCACATTTCTTTCTCTATACTTTGTCTCTGTGTCTCTTCCTTTTCTCAGTCTCTGGTCCCACCAGATGAGAAACACCCACAGGTGTGGAGGGGCAGGCCACCCCTTCACCTACATATTCAGTAATCTGAGCAAACCCCAAACAAAAATTCCAGCCAAGACTCATCCTACTTAAACACCTGAAAGCTAAAGGCAAAAAAAAAGTATTGAAAGCTTCCAAAGAGAAATATTTTTTTTTCAGGATTTGTGTTAGGTAAAATATTAAGGACAGATTAGGACAGAAATAGGTAAGAGAAAAATGAGAAATAAGTGAACATAGAAAGAGAAGAGAACAGCATTACTAAGATTTCAAAGTTCAAACAGTACTTCAGATACTAGAAATTTACAATAGTTGAGGAAAAAAAAAAGGATCAAATACTTAGGGAAACCATTAACACATGGTCAAACCAAACCATAAAGACTAATATATTTGAATAAATAAGATTAAGTACTTTGACCCTAATAGCTCCAGCAATCTTGAGCAAGAAGAATAAAGCTAGCGGCATTATACTTCTTAATTTTAAATTATATTACAAAGCTATAGTGAGCCTAACAGCATAATTTTGACATAAAAAACAGATACATAGACCAACAGAACATAATAGAAGGACCAGAAATAAACCCACACATATACAGTCAACTAATCCTCAATGAAGGTGCCAAAAATACAGAATGGAAAAAGGTTAGAAGTTTCAGTAAGTGGTGTTAAGAAAATGACATCCACATGCAGAACAATGAAATTGAATTATTATCTGACACCATACACAAAAATCAACTCAAAATAGATTATAGACTAAACTTGAAGACCTGAAACTAAATCTCCTAAAAGAAAACACAAGGGAAAAGTTTCATGACATTAATCCTGGCAATGATCTTTTGGATATCACACCAAAAGCAAAGGCAACAAAAGCAAAAATAATCAAATGTGACTATATATGCACAGGAAAGGAAACAGTTAACAAAATGAAAAGGCAACCTACAGAATAGAAGAACTATTTACAAATTATGTATCTGATAAGAGGTTAAAATTCAAAACATGTAAGAAGCTGTTACGACTGAATAGCAAACAAGAAATAACCTGATTTTGAAAAATAACCATAGAATCTAAATAGATATTTCTCCAAGAAAGACATACAAATTGTCAACAGTATCTGAAAAATTGATCAAACACCATTAATCATTAGAAAATGTAAATGAAAAATATAATGAGATATCACCACATACCTATTAGGAAGACTATTATCAAAAAGTCAAAAGATAGCAAGTGTTGAAGAGGATGTGAAGGAAAGGGAAACTTTACGTATTGTTAGTGAGATTGTACATTAGTATAGCCATTATGGAAAATGGCATAGAAGTTTCTCCAAAAATTAAAAATAGAACTCTCATATGATCCAGCAATCACGCTTCTGGGTGTTAGGTTTTGAAGGGAAGGTGAGGGTTAAAGAAAGACACACACACAGAAAGAAGGTGGCTCGGCAGCAAATGCAGTCTTTAAGTTCAGCATAAAACCTACAGAAGTGGGGGACCAGCCTAATGACAGTGCCCACCGCTGGGGTAATTTCTAGGTATGGGCAGGAGGGGTCTGGGCAGTATGGCTTGCTGCCCGGCAGGATACTGATAAGATGTTCCCATGATGAGGTGGTTCTGGCCCTTGTACCGGTAGAATGTGGTGCTCCTCCTTGTACTTTCTCCCAGCAGAATATGATAAGAGGCAGGCTGTTTCTTCATTTGGGCCTTTGTCCACCTTGTGGTCAGGTGGTTAGGCAGGTTGTTTCTCACGGCCCGAACCCCAGTGAAATGTTTCACTTTGACTGAGGCCTGCTAAATAATGGGGAGCTTATAAAATGGTGCACTTTGGACTAACATTCTTGCCTTTTACTTTAATATAAAAGAAAGTGGGGCATTTTTGGTTATCTGGCTGTTTCCTGCTGAATAACGGCACTGTAATCAGGGTTTGGGTTTTGAAGTAGTGGATGTCTGACTTCAGAGTTGTTTTCCTGGAGGTGCTGACACCAGACTTGGCGGAGGAGAAAGATGGTATCAATTGTTTTTGGGTGGCTGCCTAGACAAGGGAGTTCAGCCTTTGGGAGATAAAGTAGAATATGAAGGCGATTATACATGGACCGATTGTTATTATTATGAGGAAGAAAATCAGGGGCCCTAAGAAAGGGG
The DNA here is from genome assembly GCF_000001405.40 of Homo sapiens. Lineage (NCBI taxonomy): Eukaryota > Metazoa > Chordata > Mammalia > Primates > Hominidae > Homo > Homo sapiens. Next base: position 3,785,488 of record NC_000024.10, read on the forward strand.
GATTCACTTTAGGAGGAATGACTCCTGCCACTAAGAGTCAGTGTCATGATGTTGGATTTCTGCAGCCGTTATGGAGTCTGTGGGCTGTGCAGTTAACAATGCCAGATTCATTAACCTAAAAACAGATTCTTCTTGGAGATATACTTATGTACCCCCCCCCTTCTCAGCAGATAGCAGGTTTAAGGCCCTTTGGTTTTGGAAGATGACTCCCACAAGGAAATTTATCTGCCTTTGGAGTCTCGTAATGGAATTATACATGTCCTTTAGGGTATTATAGAGGACTGTAGATATTTTTTTATAGGGCAGTTGAGGTTGATATATTTGCTATTCTGGTAGCAAGTGCAGAGGAGATGTGTATTCCTGTTTCCAGAGGAATGAGATGTAGAAACCACATAGTGCATGTGGAGGAAGATGAGACAGAAGTTACTAAAGGAACCTGGATGGGCTGGTTGTTTGGCAAAATGTTAATGTTTGGAGATTGACAAACCAGGGTGCACATTCCTGACCCACCTGCCAGTAAGCAAGATAAGAGTTTGTGCCACCCAGAAAAGACTGGAGGTTGACAGGCAAAAGTTGTAAGTGAAGGTAGCAAGCCATGAGAAGGTGGCAGTTGAATCCTGGAAAAAATTTTTGTCTCAACCTTTTTGTTTTTTCTAGGTTGAATAGCTGTTAACAACAGTAGCCACTATGAGAGCCTGATAGGGAATGTTGGTGGAGAAGGAGGTGAAGGCTGTTTGGCTTTGTAGAGAGAGAGATAAAAGAGCTTTTTAACTAATAGCCATTGCAGTCCTGATAGGGCAGAAGGATGTAGGCTGCAGTTGAGGGAATTGTTTGTGCATTTCTTTCAGAGTGTCTGTGAGTTGGATACATGGAGAGCAGCTGCAGCAGAGAGGGGAGAGATTGGTAAGGGGCGTTTTATGGAATCCGGCTTGTAACATGTTTAATTTAGAGGCCATGAGGCAAAGGAGGGTGACAGCCCTGTGCGTGATGCTGTGGGTGGATTTGCGGGAATCGCGTTTAGCCAAGCAAGATTATAAACAGGTTTTGGGAATGGATTGGCTGAGTAGGTGAGATTCGGATTTATTTTTGGATCAGATTTATGCAGTTAGGTTAACCGGAGGGCTGTGAACTGCTGGATTTGTGTCAACAACAAATTTAACAGTTGGAAGAAAGAAGGGAGTGTGACTGATTTAAGAGGGGATGTGTGAGGCTGACAAAGGGGGCCCAACTGCCAGAGGTTGGGAGTGGGGACTTACAGTATCCCACAGACAAAGAGGACAAAAGGAGAAAAAGGAGATTTGAGTAGGAGTGAAATTTTGGAATGTGTCCTGCAGCCATAGCTCCCAGATTATTGTGAGAAATTGGAGTGGACTCTCCAGGGACATGGGAAAGGGATACCAGGAAAGATCTGAAACAAGGTATGAGATAATAGATTTGAAATTAAAGGCAGAGAATGTTATGGATCAAGGCCTTCTGGATTGGCAACTTCTGGAATTTCTGTTGAGTGCAGAGAGGTTGGTCCTGTGAGAGAGGGAGAATAATTTGGTGGGGGCGGGGGGGTGGGGGGGGAGGAAATTTCTGGATGTGGATCTGGTTCTCTTTTTAGTTTGGAATGATGTATCCAGTGTGGAAGGGATGTTAGCTTTGTTGTTGTGGGATTAGCTAGGATAACCTGGTGAGGACCCGTACACTTAGGTTGGAGAGGGGAGGAGGAAGAGTCTGCGATCCAGACCCAGTCCCCTGGTTGTAGGGAGAGGGAGGGGTATTTCGAGGATGGACTTTCAGGCTAGGGCAAGTAAACATTTGCATACTGTCTTATTAGATGTTGAGTGAAGTGTAGTGCTGGCCAAGTATCTGGTACAGAAGGGGAAGAAGAGACAGGGAGATTCTGGAGGATAAAGGAGTGTTTGTACCTGAGTTTAAATGGGCTTAGGATGAGGGGCTTTTGGGGAATGGCTTGCAAGGGCATGAGGGCCAATAGGAGAAGTGAAGTCCAGCCATTTTAACCTCTAGAGAATCTGGTTAGTTGTTGTTTCAAAAGGGCATTGGTCCATTTAACTTCTCCTGAAGATTGGGGGCAATAAGGAATATGGAACGCTATTTAATGTTTAGAGCCTTCGCCAGCTGTTGGTTAATCTGTGAAACAAATGTTGGCCTAATGGAAGAGGGGAGTTTAAACTGGGAGATAATATGGGTGAGAAGAATGGAAGTGACAGTGTGTGCCTTTTTGGTGGTGGTAGGAAAAGTTTCTATCCATCCAGAGAATGTATCTATTATTGTCAGAAGGTATCAGACTCGTTTTATAGGAGGCATGTGTGTGAAGTTGATTTCCCAGTCCTGCCCTGGCAGGTGTCCTTGAGCTTGGTGTGTGGGGAAGGGAGGTGATTTGATACCTTCTTGAGGAGAAGTCTGAGTGCAAAGGGAACACGCGTTAGTAATATTTTTGTGATTGGCGGCCATGATGGGAGAATATATATAAGTTTTTAAAAGCTGGAGTAGGTGGCAGTAAACCACATGGAAATGGTTGTGCGTATATGAAAGTACAGAAGGTTTCTGGGAATTGGGCAAGACAATTTGTCATTGAGGTAGAACCATTTTTTCCTGAACAACACCAGCCTGGGCAAATGAGGTTTGTTTCTCCTGGGTATATATAGGGTGTATGCTGGGAAAAATGGGCAATAATAATGGGGTTTTAAAGGCTGCCTGCTGGGGTGCTGAATTTGTTAAAAAGTTTCCCGTGGTTATGGCATCTGTAGCCTTTTGGTGTTCCTTACAATAGAAAATGGCAGCCTGTGGTGGTAGTTTAGCCGCCTCCAGCAACTTGTAAATGAGTTTGTTATTTCCTATGGGGGTACCTTTTGTGGTTAGAAAACCCCTTTCCTGCCAGATTAAGACATGAGAGTGTAGGATGTGATATGCATATTTGGAATTGGTGTAACTGTTAAGCCTTCTTCCCTTGCTAGGGTTAGGGCCTTGGTTAATGCAACTAGCTCCACCTGTGAGAGGTAGTATGGCGTGTGAGAGCATTGGATTTTATGAGTGAGAGAGCTCAGACTTGGAGATGTTTACAGGGAAGAGGGTGGCTGGGTTGAGAGCTTTACATCTCTGGAAGGTGATTAGAGGGTTTCCTATGAATAAGGCGTGTACCTGCAGTAAGCGGGATGGTGGGAAGCATAGAAGGCATTGATGGCTCATGAGTTCCTGTAGGTTATGGGAAGATGCAATAGTAATGTTGTTGGTAGAGAGTGAGTTTCTGTGCCTCTGAGGCAAACAATGTGGCCACACTCAAGATTTTTAAGCGGGGCGGCCAGCCTTGGATGACATAATTCAGTAGTTTTGAGAGGTATGCAGTGGCTGTATGTTTGGCAAAGTAGTCCAAGAACAAGGTCTTAGTTAGAATATACATACAGAGTAAGGGCTTGGTGCGGTTGGGCAGTCCCAGTGCTGGGGCTACAAAAAGGGCATTTTTAATTTTTTTTACAGTTGTAGTTGATGGGGCAAGCTGAATCAAGGGGTTTTGTAATGGGTCTATGTGAGGCTGTGTAGAGCAGCTTGGCCAGTATGTCGAAATTGGGAATCCACAGCCAGAAGTATCCCATAAGGCCCAAGAAGGAGAGGAAGTGCTTCTTTGTGTGGGGAAGGGGTATGTCCCAAATTAGCTCCTTTTGTTGGGTTCGGATGGCCCGAGAATTAGGGGTTAGGGCAAGTCCAAGGTAAGTGACCTGGGTTTGGGCTACCTGAAATTTTGTGGGTGAGACCCCATATCCTTGACTATGGAGGAAGTTTAAAAGCTGAGTGGTGTATAAGATGGACAGGTGAAGGGAGGGGCTACAGAGAAGGAGGTTATTGATGTATTGGAGGAGGGTGCTAGAGGCAAGGGGAAATTTAGTTAGGCCCTTGGTGAGGGCCTGCCTGAATAGGTGGGGACTATCCTGAAACCCCTGTGGGAGTACAGTCCATGTTAGTTGGGTGGACATGTGAGTATAAGGATTTGACCAAGTGAAAGCAAAAAGGCTTTGGGGTGCCAGATTTAAGGGAATAATGAAAAAAGTGTTCTTTGGTTCTAATACAGAGAAGTGTGTGATAGATGGAGGAATAAGGGAGAGTAAATATATGGGTTGGGGACAACCAGATGAATTGGCACCACCACCTGATTAACAACTCAGAGATCCTGGACCAAGCAGTAGGACTCATCTGTCTTTTTGACAGCCAAGATAGGGGTGTTGTGAGGAGAGTTGACAGGCTTGAGAATTTGAGCTTGTAAAAGTTTACAGATGATAGGTTTAAGGTCCCAGAGGCTGGCTGGGTTAAGGGAATATTGAGACTGATGAAAAAAACATGGAAGGGTTTTGGAGGGTTATTTTGACTGGGATGTGATGTGTGGCTATTGTGGGTTTAGAAACATTTTACACTTCAGGGTTAACAGAAGCTAACAGGGCAGATAATGAGGATGAGGGGGAGGAGAGGGAAGCATCTGCATGGCAGAGTAAAATAAAAAAGGTAGAATTGCAGGAGGCAAATTGTCTGGAGGCCTGGAACTTACTTAGTAGGTCTCACCCCCAAGATAGGGGAAGGGCACTGAGGGATAACCAGGAAGGAGTGGGTGAAGAGGGTGTTGAATAGGTTGCATTATAGAGGACCAGTCTGTTTGTGCCTAGAGGGGATTCCATTGACTCCCACAATAGAGATAGAAGAACTGAGGAGGGGTACAGAATATTCTGGTAAAACTGAGTAACTAGCCCCCATATCCAATAGGAAAGACATGGGCTTACTAGTGACTGACAGCGTTACCTTGGGTTCCGTGGTGGTGATGGCAGTGGGGACAGTGGGGACAGTGGATTCCGGGCCCCAGCATTCTTCAGTTAGAGGTGATGAAGTGGGATGATGAGTTTTGCAGAGCACAGTCCGACTTCCAGTGTTCGTTGATGCCATGGATGGGGTAAGGTTTTGAGAGTGGCCTGGGATTAGAGCAGGCTTTTGCCCAGTGACCCTGTTGGCTGCACTTCAAACAGGTTTCCGGCAGAGTTTGTGGTAAGGTTGAGGATTTCTGTATGCATTGGGAACCCTGTTGTTTGGCAGCTGCCAGCGGTTGGTATTTAGCTCGGTCTGTTTTAAGCTTTTGGGTTTTCAGTTTTTCCTCTCTATTGTTAAAGACCTTGAAGGTCACTTTGATTAAGTCTCTTTGGGAGATTTGAGGGCCATCCTCCAGTTATATATTTATTTATTTATTTGATGTTTGGGGCTCACTGGGAAATGAAGTGAAAATGGAGATAGATTCTGCCCTTATTGGTATTAGGTCATAAAGTGGTAGATTTAGTTACGGCCTCTGAAAGGTGGGAAAGGAAAAGAGCAGGAATGGCTTTATTTATGCCAGCTAGGAGGCATAATATGGCTAGAGATATCATATGGTCTTGTTTCTGTCTGCCTGCAAAATTTGCTTGATAATCCCAACTGGGATCAGTTCTGGGGGCACCTAGGGTCCTTACTGGGTTATGGGCAGCATCTTGTTGGTGGAAGGTGTTTGCATGGACCTGGGAGGCCATTCAGATGTGTTCCCTGTTTTCCGGGGTGAGGGTGGAGGAGAGGATGACATATATGTCATGCCAGGTAAGGTTATAAGATTGAGTGAAATGCAGAAATTCTTTGCAGGAAGAGGTGGGATCCGGGGAAAAGGAGCCTAGTCTCTTTTCAAGCTGAGAGAGGTTGGCTAGGGAGAAGGGAATGTGATTTCAGATTATGCTTTCCTCCCTGTCACCTCTTATAAAGGGAAGACTTTGGAGGGCCTTTGAGCATGTGCCTGGTTTTTGTCGGAAGGGGGTTGGGCATGAGACACGGTTTGTTGGCCGGGTTGAAATTAGAGGAGGAAGGCATGTCCAGGGGAAGAGGCATTTTTGTGGGTTTTTTGCTGAAGAGGAGGATTTGAAAAGGTTAACAGAATTAGCAGAGATAGAGAGCCACGAACAGAGATAAGCAAAGCACTTCGGATCATTTACCATTGCATTGGAAGTTTTTTAGGTTTTGTTGAATTTAGAAATAAATGTTTTGATTTTTGCCCATTGATTATTATTGTCCAATTTACATTGGGGCTAGGCAACATTACAGAGGAAAAGTACAGAAGAAAGCAAGGCATTTGGTTTTAAGGAGTCCACTAAGCTCTGGGCTTGGAGAATTCAGATGAGACATGTAAGAGGAGTAAATAAGGTGTTCAGTTTTAATGGAGTCCTCTAAGCCCTGGGCCTGGAGGTTCCAGATGAGACATTCGAGAGTGGTGTCTCCAGGTGGTTTTAAAGAGCCTTGCCCCATACTGGTGACTGGAAGGGTGAGAAATTTAGAGGAGGGGAGTGAGTACCCCATTCCTCCCTGGATAAGGGACATAGGAGAGCCAGGGCATCCCTGCAGATCTTTGCTGTCCCCTGGAGGCCAGAGTGGCCAGAGCAGCTGGAGCAGCAAGCTTTCTGAGGGCATCCCCTGAGAAAGTGGGCTGCGGTCACCTGGTGACCAGGGAGACCTCTCACCCAGCGCTGGGATTTTCTGGAACCAGAAGAAACAGAGAGGAATTCAGAAAAGAGGAAAGGGAAACTCATCCACTAATTGGAGACCAGTGTTGGATGTGATGTCCAACAATGGGATCAATCCTTGCTGGAGCTGCTTGGAAAGAGGAAGAAAGAAAAAGAGGACGGAGAGTTTGACCAGGGTCTGGAGGTTAGCCCAGGGCCAGAGAAGAAGAGAGAATAAGGCGAATGGGGCTGGGAACAGGGAGTCCACTCTGGATCAGGAAGCAGGCCCGGGTCTAGTTTTTGCTGTTTGCTACTTTCCAGGTTACAAGAGAAGACTTACACCTTAGAACCCAATCCTCATACCTGGTTTCAGCACCAAAATGTTAGGTTTTGAAGGGAAGGTGAGGGTTAAAGAAAGACACACACACAGAAAGAGCTTCACAGCAAATGCAGGCTTTATGTCCAGGATAAAACCTACAGAAGTGGGGGACCAGCCTATGTCAGTGCCCGCTGCTGCTTACAGGCTGGGGTAATTTCTAGGTATGGGCAGGAGGGGTCTGAGCAATATGGCTTGCTGCCTGGAAGGATATTGATAAGATGTCCCCATGATGAGGTGGTTCTGACCCTTGTTCCGGCAGAATGTGGTACTCCTTGTACTTTCTCCCAGCAGAATATGATAAGAGGCAGGCTCTTTCTTCAGTTGGGCCTTTGTCCACCTTGTGGTCAGGTGGTTTATCAAGGCCCGAACCCCCATGAATTGTTTCACTTTGACCAAGGTCTGCAAAATAGCAGGGAGCTTACAAAATGGTGCAGTTAGGACTAACATTGGGCATATATCCAAAGGACATAAAATCAGTATGTCAAAGAGATGTCTGTACTCCTATGTTCCTTGGAACATTATTCTCAATAGCCAAGACATGGAAACAACCTAAGTGTGCATCAATTGATGAATAAATAAAGAAAATGTGGCGCACACACACATACTTACATTATTATCATATATGTTATTATATAACAACATATTAGCTACAGTCACCATGCTGTAAAATAGATCCTCAGAACCTATTCATCTTACAACTGAAAGTTTGTGCCCTTTGATCAATATCCCCTCATTTTCTCCACACCATATATATAGAATATTATTCAGCCATAAAAAAGAATAAAATCCTGTCCTTTGTGACAACATGGATGAACCTGGAGGGCATAATGCTAGCGAAATAAGCCAGCCACAGAAAGCAAATACTGCATGATGTCAGTTATAAGTAGAATCTTACCAACTCAAACTCATAAAAATAGACAGTACAAGGGTAGTTACTGGGGGTTGGGAGGTGGGGGAAATGGGGAGATGTTGATCAAATTGCACAAACTTTCAGTTATAGGATGATTAAGTTCTAAGGATTTATTATACAACATGTTGATTACGGTTGGTAATAATGTACTGTATACTAGAAATTTGCTAAGAGATAAGTATTTTCACCACACACACAAAAGGCATCTATGTGAATTAATGGGTATATTAATTAGCTTGATTATAGCAATCAATTCACAATGTATTGTGAATATCAAAACATCAAGTTGCACACCTTAAATATACACAAATTTTATTTGTCAATTACACCTCAATTAAGGTGGAGAAAAATAAAAATAAAGGGCTAAATCTTTTGGAAAAAGTATCTGAATCCTCTGGTTGCCTACAATTTTTTCAAAGTTGTCGTCTTTTGGTTTTAAAAGAACCCCTGATTTGCTAAGCTTGATAAACATGATTCCAGATGTCAAATTAGTTTTTATTTGCTCAGGAATTGGTACTTTTCTTTGGAGAAATAAATGTGAAAGAGACTTCTATAATTAGATATCACTTAAATTAATGTTATTTTAATCTATCTTGGACAAATCTTTCTTTATTGAAAAAGGAAAATTTGTTATAGTACAACAAAGTGGCTCCCAAATACTCTTAGTGATGAAAGCTTTACTGGGGCAAAATGAGAGAAATAACACTGATACTTAAAAGGACACACATTTTTAGGTTAACTAGCTTTAGCTTGAATCCTGGGTCCATCACTTTTCAGTGGTATAGTATCACCTAATGCCTAGTAATAGCATAATCAATGTTGATAATTATATGTACATAATTACATATATTTTATATATATATATATATAAAATCACCATTGTGATTTTTGTTGGTTATGGTTATTCTAGGAAAAATTTTGTGTACAAATGTTAAGAGTGCAGGCTCTGTACTCTGTCTGGCTTTGAGTACCAATTCTGCCACATGTAAGCTTTGTGATCTTGAGGAAGACACTCAATGTCCTTGAGCCTCTGTTTCCTTTTCCATAAAATGTTGATAGTAATCATCAGACTTCATACAGTAATAAGATTTAAATGAAATAATGAAAATGAAAATTTTAACTTAGTTCCCAGTACATTATAAATATTCAATATTAACTATTATTTCCTGGGGAAAACATTATATTTATCCTAGTCTTCGGTTCTTCTTACATTTGTGGTGGTCATTCTTTTTGTCAAATCTGGAAATGTTATATGATGAAATTAAAATCTAAATCTGAACCCAGGAAAAACTATATATATATATATACACACACACATATATATAAACATATATATATACACTCACATATATATACATATACACACATGTACACATATATATACATATACACACATGTACACATATATATACATATACACACATGTACACATATATACATATACACACATGTACACATATATACATATACACACATGTACACATATATACATATACACACATGTACACATATATACATATACACACATGTACACATATATACATATACACATATGTACACATATATACATATACACACATGTACACATATATACATATACACACATGTACACATATATACATATACACGCATGTACACATATATACATATACACGCATGTACACATATATACATATACACGCATGTACACATATATACATATACACATATGTACACATATATACATATACACATATGTACACACATATACATATATACACACATATGTATACATATGTACATATGTATACATATATACATATATACACATGTATACATATATACATATACACACATGTATACACATACACATATACACACATATACACATATATACACATATACACATATGCATATATACACATATACACATATACACATATATACATATATACACATATACACATATACACATATACACATATACACACACATATACACATATACACACACATATACACATATATACACATATACACATATACACATATATACATATATACATATATACATATATACACATATATACATATATACATATATGCATATATACATATATACATATATACACATATACATATATACACATATGTACACATATACATATATACATATATACATATATACATATACATGCATATATATACACATATATACATATATATGCATATATATACATATATACATATATATGCATATATACACATATATACATATATATGCATATATACATATATAGACATATATACATATATAGAGACATATATATATACATATATATATGACATAACCTGAATTAAATGACAGCGTGAAATAGAAAAGTTGAGGTATAGAAAGGCCAAAAGTTCAGGAGGCAATTGTCATTGAAGAGATAGTGTATTACTCACAGTTCTCAAAGGGAGGGGACAAGCTATGGAAGTGAGGGGCACAGGACAGCACTGGAGTTGGTCAGGAGACAGAGGGAGAAAGACTGTGAGAAGAGCCTTTTTGTGATTTGTGTGGGAAATGACAGATGACGCATGGTAAGCAGGCTGAGGACTGGCCCGTTTGAATACTTTCAGCAGGCTCTGGGGCATAGGGACTGTCTCTGTTGGTCTGGTGGCTGGCCATGGGGGTGCTTAGGGCAGGTGAATAGTGGTCTGGAGTATAAGAGCCTGATGAAAGAGATGGTTGGGATTGTGGGCTCTGGATTGGTTGGTTTGTATTTAAAAAGCACAAACCTGAGAAGCAAACTGTTACTAAGGAGAGTCAACAAGGAAGATGGGGAGCCAGGGCAAGATGACATGAGCATATTATTTGGTTGCTCAGAACAAGGTATGCCTGGCATACGCATATAGGGCAGATGTTTAGCTTCAAATTTGTGAAATATGGAAATGCGGCTAATACACTCCCCCTACCCCAAACTCGTAATGCTATTTCTTATTTGGTTGTTGGGTTGGTTTGATCACTGAAACCCAAGTATGAAATCAACCGCAAATGGTATCCTGCCATTTACTGGGTTGTTCTTAAAAATCAAACACATTTTAAGGTACATATTTATTTATTTGTTAAATGATTGTTGAATGCCTACTTATTTCGCCTGTATTTTTATTTGTTTTCTCACTAAGTTTGAATGACAAGAAAAATTCAATTCTGAGAGAGTATTAGTCTTTACTTCTCTTTTGTCCTTCTTGTTGCCAAACACCTTTAACAACAATTATAATGAAAGGCTTAAAGAATAGAATAAACCTTATGAGAAAAAGTATAACATAAAATAAGAAAAATAAATACCTCTCTTGTAACTGAAATATTTAATGGAAAAATTTCTATTTAAGAAAAAAATGCAGGGAATGTTCAGACATATAAGATTTAAATATAAGGTTTAAATAACTTCTAAACCTTACAAATAATCACAAAACCATTAATAAAAATCAGTCTAATCATAATATATTATTAAAGGGAACTTGAGGTAGTACCACACATTTGTAGTTGAGAACCAAAACACATATAGCTTACCGTCCACATTAATATGTCTATATTTTTAGGCTGGTTTCACTAACATTACTTTACTATTTTAACTTTTTCCTAGGAAGAGAAGAGTTGTAAATAACTTTATTGTTACTTTCAAGAACTTTCCCCAAACTCACTGGAAACGGCTCAGTTTTTCAATGGATAACATCAAATAATAGTACCCTCTTTCAATCTCTGAGATGAAAATCCTCATCTTACAGTGTCTCCTAACTCATAGCTATTACATAATCATTACCTAATCCTAATCAAGCCCTCACATTGAAGAAATCATCTTAAACCAAACCCTAAAACCTCATAAATATTATGACACTGTCCCTCCCACTTCAGACACTCCTAACAAACACTGTAGCCCCAATATCTTTATTCCTAGGTCTGGTTATCTGAGACCCTTTTCAGGCATTTTTTCCAATGCCTCCCAATGGGGGGAATGAGAGATAAGAACTGCAGGACTATTGTCACATAACAACTCCATCCAAATCCCTGCACTAAGAGACTTGACGAAATTCTGCTATGGCATCTAACAGCCTAAGGCTGTGTCCCTAAATTTATCCCAGCCCCCTATTTATATGCCTGCCTGAGAAAACTTAAGGCTACAAAGGAAATTTATTATTTGTTCTAGTCAGCACCTGATGATAGACCCTGGAGCTCCCTTTCTTAGAGCATTTTCTAAAAAGGGCTTACAATTGTGAACATGTATTTCTTGCAACTCAGAATGATCTTTCTCAAGGACACAAGAGCCATTCCATTGAAATGTAATCAACAAGAAGGATAAGGCCTCTCTCCTAGTCTCTGTGAGAGTATAGCATCCTAACTTCCATAACTTCCAGCAAGCAGACACAGCTGGCCTAATCATGTTTACATTAACCAACCCTTCGTACATTTTTGCTTTTTTGACTCTACTGAGTGCCCACAGTCCCTCCTCCTTCACGCTCCCTTGAAAATGTACAGGCATGTTTCCACAAATGGGAATGGAGCTCAGTTCTTTCCCCTACAGTCAGTAATTACTGAATAAAACCTGTTTTTATCCAATGTTTGTCTATTTTTAATTTTGACAGGGGGAAACTTTGAAGAGACTTCTCTCCATTCTGACTTAGTCCCAGTATGTTTACACTCTTAACCCTTCTCCTTCTGCTTGCCTCTGGCCCTGGGTTCATAAAACTGCAGGGGCTTTCTGTTTCGGGCTCCCTCAGCAGGGAGAGGACCCCTTTATCTTTGCTGAGCCTCAACCAGTGCAACTGTCCATAAGAGAAATCCAAGTTTCTCCAGTTTCCTCTCTTGTCTGTACATTGCAGTAAGTGATCAAGCATAAACTGTTTCATTATTGACTTGCTTTAATTGTCTACTCCACTGCCTGATAGCTTAGCTCATTCCTGGCTCACCTGAGCTTCTGAAGATCTTAATTGTAATTTTTCATTCTTTGAAAAACTAGTAATATGGCCTTATTTGTTGCCATATAACAAACATTCGTATATATCTCCTTTTATGTATGTATGAAATTCTGTACTGTATGTCACTGAGAGTAGAAATAGTTGTAAATTATATACAATTTTAATCCCCCTTGATAGTTCTCAATTTCATATCAAGAGTGTTGTTCTAATCACACTTCCAACAACAGTGAGTGAAAGTTTATAATTCTCCATATTGTCATTAACTCTAAGTATGATCCATTTTTTAATATTTTTGTCAGTTTCATGGTTGTGAAATTGTAAATAATTTTGTATTAATCTGCATTTACCTAATTATTGGTAATTTTGAGCATGCTCATGTTTCTGGTCCATTTTGATTTCCTCTTCTATGAAGTGCTTGGTCATATATTTGACAATTTTTGTTTGAGGTTTCTTTTTATTGATATCTTGAAGTTCGTTAATATGTTTGCTAATATTATTTTCTGGTATACATTTCAAATATCTTATTCCAGATTGTGGTTCATATCTGCTTATCCTACATTTTGCCATTCAGAATTTATCAGCACTTTATGACTTGTGTTTTTTTGTGTTTAAGTTAATCTTTTTCTACCCTGAGGTAAAAAAGTATTTTTTCTAAGACTTAAAAAGTCTTTTTATGATTTGCTTTTAAATCTATGGAAATTTATGTCTGTGAATTTTGTGATGAAGAAAGCTTTGGATTTTTTATCATGAGATTATTAGTTATTGTGATGGTTAACACTGAGTGTCAACTTGATTAGATTAAAGGATGCAAAGGATTGTTCCTGGGTATGTCTGTGAGGGTGTTGCCAAAGGAGACTAACATTTGAGTCAGTGTACTGGGAGAGGCAGACACACCCTCAATCTGGGTGGGCACCATCTAATCAGCTGCCAGTGCAGCTAGGATAAAAGGAGGCAGAGGAATGTAGAAGGACCAGACTGATTCAGTCTTCCTACCTTCATCTTCCTCCCATGTTGGATGCTTCCTGCGCTCAAATGTAGGACTCCAAGTTCTTCAGCTTTTTGATTGTTGGGCTTACACCAGTGGTTTTCCAGGGGCTCTCGGAACTTTAGCCATGGACTGAAGGCTGCACTGTCAGATTCCCTACTTTTGAAATTTTGGGACCCGGATTGGCTTCCTTGCTCCTTAGCTTGCAGATGGCTTATCGTGGGACTTCATCTTGTGATAGACTCACACTATATTAAATAATGAATACTTTTCTACTGATACGTAATAACATCTCTTTCATATAATTTACCTGCTTTTCCTCTGTGTTCCTCACAAGTGAAACTGAAAACATTCTCCACTAATTATCAGAGTGCCTGGCACATAGTAGACAATACATGTTCAAGGAATGTATCAGTAAGGACTTTTGAGAAGGCTAATGCCCTATCTGGATGGAATTTGGGGTAGCAACTATTAGAAAAAGATATTTTTTTCTTTCCTTGTGTCACATGGTTCCTCTGATTATTTTTCTCACTGATTGATCGTTGATTAGTTATTAAGTCAACACCTAGAATAAGACTGATTCTTAACTACTACCAAATATTAACCTTCTGTTTCAATGGACCTATTCCACTTAATTTGTATCCAATATAATATATTTATTTCAACCTGCTGGTCTTTGCTTTACCTCATTTAGCAGACATTTCTTCTTTTTGTCTAGTGATACAAATATAGTTACGTCAAAACCTATTTTATTTTTTATATTTCTAGAAGCCCATCTTGTCTATTCCAGGTGCCGATAATTTTTTACCTCTCCCACCCACCATACCCACTAAAGTGCTTAATATTGAGGAGGTTTTTGTGATATCTTGGCCTTTCTTGGTCTCTATGTCTTATGCTTGCCATGCAGATTATCTATCAATTATATTCAGATTTCCAACTAAGGTAGTTTAAAAAGTTAGAGAATGTTATACTTGAAAAAAAACTTAGATTTTATGATGTCCAGTTTATAGATAAGAAAACTAGGCCTGAAAGAAGTGAAGGGATTTTCCCAAGGCCATAGAGCTAGCGAGTGGCTAGCAAGTGGTAGGGTTTGTATTTGGACAATAATGTATTGAATTTCATATCATGTCTCTTCCCTGTTTCACCATTCTTAGGTTTATTTGTCATGTTGATATTGAGCTGGAGATTGTAACACAGTGGTGTCAAGCTGAGATGTAAACTAAATTTTATATTCTCAACCTGGTAGGGGATGGAGAAGTCATTATTTTGAGCTAGATATTTGCTGCAACTCTGTTACGGGAATGAGAAAGGAAGACGTGCAAGGTTACCATCATCCAAAAAGCTTCACATCTCAAAGACATATGAAGAAAGAATGCTAGAGAGTAGAAAAATACAGATGTTCATAGGTTCGTGGATTTGATGGTGAGAGAATAAAGGTGTTTCTTATTGCTATAGTAACCTTGTGCATAGAGTTCTGAGAAGGCCAAGAATCTGAGGACTCAAGTAAGCCAAAGCGTCCAACCAACTGCCTGAGTCTGGCCCAGATCATAGGTAAATCCTATTTTTGGAAGCTTCTTTAGATGGTTTTGGTAAGCATTCTACTCATGCTATGACTGGCTGGGCATAGCAAGAGTGTAAAGAAAATGGAGAGCTGACATTGCTTCCTCATCTCACTGTTTTTATCTTTAGGTGTATTACAGCTTCCCTGTGGTCTTTCTTTGCAAAGAATAGCTGTTTAGATTTTCTGGCCCAAATCCATGCTTTACATTGACCAACTGTCCTGTCATTACCTAGTCATGTTATCCTTCCAATTTCATGAATGATTTATTAAAGATAGATTGTGAGGATGTTTTTGTATAGTATAGTATAACGTGTACTTGAAAACATGGATATATTTAGTGGAAAAATAGACCTATTACATAGTCTAACTCTGATTAATATATATTCTGTAACTTACAATAAACGCAAATATATTGTTTGTCCATAATATGATATTATTAAAGCTATCATCAAATCTATCTTGATACTACATTACCATTAAAGTGAACATACAAGGTTAATTATATCTTATATTCCATGGGAGTATGAAGCACATTGGGAGGTAATTTGTATATTACAGAATTTATTAACAACAATAGATTTAACAGCTACTAGGTCAACGTAAGACATTTATTTGGGTGGAAATACGTTACTTAAATTCGGAAGATTTATAAATCAGTGAACTTTGCTTGGGTGTCTGCTCCCTGACCTTAAAATAGCTCCATTAAGGTTGTTATAATGAACTCATTATTTATATTTTCTTCTAGTCCACATTCAGAAAAGTTTTTAGTAGGTGTAATAATCTGTTTAACACACTCAGATTTTGTAGTGAATACAGACGATCCCAAAGAGAAAGATGCTAGTTCTGAGTGAGGAGCTAAATTGCACAATAAGCTACAACACTGCAAAAGGGATCCCCAACCCTCTTTAAAAGGCCATTTCACATCATTAGTGCATAATTAAGTGAATCAAGGAGGTTTAGTAATAAATGTATTTACTTTCAATTATCTTCAGGAAAACCTGTCCAAATGATCGTTTCCAAGCCCAGAGACTTCAGACAGAGCCTGTGAATTGTGCCTGCTGTTGTGAATCACAGGAATGCCTCAGTGAACTCATCTAGCCCTCTGTATTATATGTTAAACATGTAAGAGGGATATAGAAAAGGATACTATACATAGCCTAATATCCTGACAGTGTGTATTCCTGGGGCTCTTCCTCTTATTCAGAAAACACTCCAGGAATCAGTGATGGATGAAAAAAGGAGGACACTAAGAAACAGGTCAAAGGTGACAACTGAATAAAAGTTGCTGCAGGCTTTAACCTTAAAGTACTGAAGAAAAAAAATTCTGCTGAGATTTGGTAGCAATACATATAACAGAAGGCTGAAGTCCAAAAATCTCTAAGGTATTTGGAGATATAGAAAGGCCAGATTAGAGGTCTTATCTTTTCCTTCCTTCAGAGTCAATTCTTTGTTAACTCTACAGTGTCTAGTACTAACATTTGTGGTAAAAATCTTTGACCGACTAATTGAAACATGTTATAGGAGATTGCAGCAAAGCACAAACCTAAATGCACATTGTCTTTTCCAAAAAGCTATTCTAAAAATCTAACTGTGGCTCTAGTTTGAATACATTCAAAGCCTACATCTGAGCTCCTTCTCTGGAATTAACCCAGATGTTTTAGTCTCAGCCTCATCTAGAGCTTTTTTAAAGCAGATAATAGGAAGAGAGATAAAAGAGAAATCTGTTTAAACGGAGAAAGATACTCAGAATAAAATATGTATTTGGTCTGTGTCTGTTTCTGTTTCTGTTTGCTTTTACTGTCTTTCTCAGCATTCTTTCTGTAGAGCCCTCAACCCAGAAATCCAGTATTCTTGTGCTGACCTCTAAGTTTGCAGAGGCCACATTTCACTCTTTGCAGACCTACCTTCCCACAGTAGTCCATTTAAGTTTCACTTGTATTTTCTTCTTAGCTATCCAAACTTGCCTTTGTGAAAATATGGCAGGACTAAAAGTTTTTCATGGAGTTCCAAGTGTCTTCCCCATCCCTCTTGTCAAATCCAATTGACCAACTCATGGCTTCTAAAACTAAAAGCCTAGTCTCATTGTTCCTCCTGCCTGTGCTATTATTACCATAGCCTCAGTTTTCCCATACTTTCCATGAATTTGGTCAATGACCAATTCTCAAATTTAAACTCAACTCTAACCTTTTTTGATCAAGTTTATGAATTTTTAATGATCTTGCTCCACCCAGAACAGTCATCTTGAGCTGTCGTCAATTCAAAAGGTTTCAATGACGGCTTGAGCTAATGGCTTTTCTTTGGTTTTTCTTTTTTACCACTTGTCTTGATCCTCTTTTCCTCAGGACATGGTTCTTTGTTGAATATTGTGATTTGATAAATCAATCTAGGTTGTAGGTTTATGATTGTCAATGAATAAATGTACTCTCTCATTGAAGTAACACAAATATGTGTCAATAGGTACCTGTGAGTAACTTAGAAATTTACTCCAAAAGAGAATATGATAATCTTAATTTATCAGACTAAATAGGAGAGGTAATTGAAGGCAAAGAATGGTCCATATTCAAAAATCATTAATGCCACCACTGTACCAGGTTTCTGAGTACCTATGCATTTATTCTAACAACCTAGCATCTATTTCAGTCTGCAAAGGAGATTCCATCTAAGAAAGTATAGCATTAAAAATCTAGAGCAGAGAAAAGGAAGTCATGTCTTCACTGGGGCACCCTTGCCTCTCATTCTCAACTCTGAAGTATCTGCAATATTTTTTTTTCCTCAAGGGAGTATCATCACATATATAAGATTTAAAATACCTCACCACAGGTTTCTAATTTCATTTAAGACAAACATGGCATCAGGACTCATAATCAAGTCTGTTTACGAAGCATGTGCATTTAGTGTTCAATTTATCATGTCTTAAAATGGGCTACTATAAAATATTCCTTCTATATGGGCATATTTTAAAAAATTGACTCATTAACAATTGGAAAGTTGTCTTTGTGTAATTTTATTATCTATATCATTAAGGTCCTCTTTTTGTATTTAATTTGTTTGTTTTTTTGTCTGTTTTCTTAGAGACAGGGTCTTGCTCCATCACCCAGGCTGGAGTTCAGTGGCATATTCACAGCTCACTGCAGCTTTCACCTTCCAGGTTCAAGTTGTCTTCCCACCTCAGACTCCCAAGTAGCTGGGACCACAGGTATGCACCACCATGCCATGCTATTTTTTTTTAAATTTTTATAGAGATGAGGTCTTACTATGTTTCCCAGGCTGGTTTCAAAGTCTTGGGTTCAAGCGATTCTCCTTCCTTGGCCTCCCAAATTGCTGAGATTACAGGTGTAAGCCACTGCACTCAGCCTTCTATTCCCTTTTATTTCAGCTGTTAAAATTATGTTTGACAGAGCAGGAGCATTGCCATCTTGTACAAGCACCACCATTTTAAAGTTCCCCTTGATCAAAAACTGCCTAAATCCAAAGGGCATCAGCCTAATAGCTGAGGTCAGCATGACCATAAACCACAAATTACATCTCCAACCAGAAACATTCCAACCCTAAGATAACCTCCCCCCAACCAGAGAGGACACCCTCCTGTTTGGGTGAGGCTCATAATGAGGCCCCCTCACCATTACAGGAGGAAATCTCTTCACTGCTGGCACTGACAATGGAAGACTGAGGGTGCCCGGGATCCTTCACCCCCACATCCAGTGAGTCCACGGAACCCAGGGTAACTGGGATGGTATCTGGTAAGATTATTTCCTTCTTTTTGGATACTGGGGCGAGTCTATCAGTATTAACTGAAAATCAAGGCCCATTAGGACATTCATCTGTTTCTGTTGTTGGCATGAAGGACATACAAGTAACCCCATACAAAACACCACCACTATACTGCTCATTTGAGGTAGTCACCTTCACTCACTCTTGGTCATTCCCCATTGTCCCACTCCTTTACTAGGAAGGAACATCCTACACAAACTAGGGGGAATCATTTATTTATTAGCCCTACATCAAAGCCACCCTTACTTATTATTATGTCAAGAACAAAACCCCTCCTCAGACACTCCACATCAAATAGACTTAAATCCCAAATTCCTCAACCAGGTAAATCCCATAGTATGGAACACTGCATTAGCATTGCATAGTATGGAACATTGCAATAACAATGATAGCTATTGCCAGTGGAATGTGTAAACTTCTATACCCACTACATTAACCAGTTTGAAAATATTCCTTGACGTCATTCCTTAAAACATCTTTAATAACTAGTTCTTTGATTAAGACCTCTTATTTTCAAATTAATGTTTTATTGAATTACACTTTTTCTCACTAAACAAATTTTAGTATGTGATGGGTTTTTAATGGCCAGAAAACACATTCATTGTTCACTTTTATCCTGTGATCAAACTATATGCCAGTGATAAAATACTGATTTATAATTTAAACTTCTCTTGAGGGAGGCAAATGTCAGTTCCTACCTTGGTTTATCATAACACTATCTCTGTTGCCTTATATACAATTCAGAAATTAAAATATGCTTGTATTTTGGGTAGAGAAGGACAGGATAAATCAAATACTATGTAACAATTGACCTTGTATAGACTCTATTTCAAAAGATACTTTACCAGCTTGAGCAACATAGTGAGACACAGTCTTTACAATTTTTTTAATTATTAGCTGGGCATAGTGTGACACATGTTTGTACTGCCAACTACTCAGGAGACTGAACAGAAGGATCATTTGATTGCCATTATTACAACACTGCACTCCAGCATAGGTGAAAGAGAGACACCCTATCTCAAAAAATATATAAAACAACAATAAAAAATACTTTAATACCTAGGATGAATTTTTTTTTGTGGTGGAAAATCTAATGACATTGTTCATCAAATTAACTATAAGATAAATGACATAATTAATAATTTTTGCCAGATATATTTTAAGAAACATTTTTCATATAATATCAAAATGAGAAAAAAATTGCTGTCATTTTCTAAAATCACTCTGAGAATAGTAAAATTAACTAGATCCATGTTGAAATGAGAACACTATAGATAAATAATATTTGTAAAGTACTCCAAGAATTTTAATCTCTTTAATATATTTGTCTCTCAAGTTTATTGAAAAAAGTTTGAAAATTCAAAGTTCAAACAGCAATGCCTTTTATTGTGGTAACATTTTGGCTAAAATACATCTTTGTAATATATACATATTGCACTTTTCAGTGATTTCTGGGTTATATTTTTTTTGATAAAGGTCATATAAAATGTCAGGAAATGTTTGATTTTTAGTGAAAAATTATCTTGAAAACTATTATTTGCTGTTTCATTTCAAAGAAACAAGAATGAAGAGGAAAGAGATATTTCATAACAAAAGTGTTGGGGTTTTTTAACTCAAAAATATTATTCATTTTATGAAATATTTCACAAGTTAGAATGCACTGTGAATTGGGAATGTTATATAATATGTTTGTTAATTATTAATCTTGATTTCTAATTGCCAAATTTTTCAAATTGATGATGTCTTGCAACTAGGCACACCAAGACACATTTGGGAGAGTAACTTTATGAAACACTTTCTAAATTAGTGATGATAATTTAAAAATTAGGTTATTACTAGGTATATAAATTCACAGGGAATTATGATTTTTATGCTACATATATTTTAAAACACTCTTATTACTGTAGGCCTGGCTACATTAGGGTAATTACACAAAGCTTCAAGAAGGGGGAAATTTCCTTAAAATCTTAAACCATTGTATAATATATGTATAATTATAATACCAATAATCCCAGTTCTTAATGCATTATACACCCATAGTTAATGGACTATGCAAAGAAATATTACTGACCACAAAGCTCACAAATTCTTCCACCTCTCTCCATGTCTACTACCAACACAAACTAAGCCTTTTTCTTACTAGGGTTATAGCAATAGACTTGTGCCTGGTTTTCCTATGTTCAGCCTAGTTGAAGCTCATTAATTTGTTGCTTTAATTATTTGATTAATACCAGTCACTGCCTTTAACCTACAAGTTCCCTGAGAGTAGGAATCAAACTGTTTTTGCTCAACATTGTATCTTAATGTCTGGCACATGGTAAACACTCAATAAATATTTGCTTGATAAATGAAACAAAGTGTAAAATAAATAAAATAGAAGAACACAGCAGAAAACATTCATAATGTGTTTTTTTGGAGAATGACAAACAGGACAAAAGTTAATATCATCACAAAATAGTCTAGATACCATAATTTTCAGAGCCCTGGGCTTGATACGAATTAATAACTCAATCATGTTATAACTAATTATACTTGAGCTTATTATCCTCAATTGCCTTTTTTGGTGTCAAAATCAAGTCATATTGATATTTTATTTCAATATGCTTTTCTAAATTTTGAAAATAAATTAACAATGATATTTCATTTTTTATAAGAATAAAAGTTTTTATCTTATAAATTAGGTTTTCTTAACAATTTACTGTATATTTACCATTTGTGAATTTTCTGTTGAAATTTATTGGTACTTTCATCCTGTTTCACTCTTTGGGGAAAATCAGTTAGTCTATTCATGACAAATTATTGCCAGCAATTTCATCCTTCTCATTTGTCTTAAAATTAGTTACTTCAGAATAGGAGTCTCTGCCACCCAGGATCAAGTGATTTTCTCACCTCAGCCTTCAAAGTAGCTAGGACTAGGGGCATGCGCCACCACACCTGGCTAATTTTTTGTATTTATTCATAGAGATGGGGTTTCACTATGTTGCCCAGGCGGTTCTCAAACTCCTGGGCTCATGCGATCTGCCAGCCTTGGCCTCTCAAAATGCTAGGATTACTGGCATGAGCCACCGCACCCAGCCAATACTTCATCCTTTTTTATTGCTCTTCTGGAAGGCTTTTCAGCTCTAATATGCTTATCTTATTGAGGAAACAAGAGTAAAAATGAAAAAGAATTATATACTATATTTTAGAAAGAGAGACACCACGGATTTTAGAAAGGGAAGCTTCTTTCTCTGTGTTTTGCTGTTGATGCTCCACCTTCCTTGCAGAAAACTAAACAGGACAAAAGTTAATATCATCACAAAATAGTCTAAATACAATAATTTCCAGAGCCCCGGGCTTAATACAAATTAATAACTCAGAGTCACTCATCTTATAACTATTATACTTGAGCTTATTTTCCCAAATTGCCTTTTTTTGGTGTGAAAATCAAGTCATGTAGATTAATTTCATGATCTATTTGAACAAAGATACTTATTTCATGACTGAATGATCTGACTTTGATATATTTGTCTTATTTTTTCAAAATATCTGGTTAGATCATGTTTTCTACTTTATATACTGCCTTTCTAGGCCAGACTGACAAATATCCTACATTAGACATGGAGGCAGTCTGAATTTCAATGAAAAAGTAATGAATGTTTTGCAACAAACCTGTACGTTATTGGGTATGTAGAAAGGTTAAGACCACTGAGACGTACACATCCATACCCTGGTTTATTAAATGCAACTAAATTAAATTGTTTCAAAATTTTGCTAATGATTCTAACAATATAATCCTTATGTTAATGTTGAAAACAATTGCATTTTTTATTTTTTGGTTGATCAATTTTGTGGCATAGTTTTGAATCCCAGACACCTTGCAGAGCAATACTTTGCTTTTCACTGTCCAAAGAGATACAAGTATAAAGTATACTTTCATCTTAATCAGAGGCAGTCATAGATTTTTTTTTTTAATATACAGTGTCAGATCAGGAAAAGAAGCTATCACTGATAGAATTTTTTTTAAACATCATAATTTTTAAAAAGTTATTTTCTATGACACATCATACTGTAACATTGAGATTCATAATACTCTGCCCTGATATGTTATTAAACGTGAGGATAAAAATAATTACTAAATCCTTTTTCATTACACATGTAGAATTTTTACTTCAGCCTAATTTCCACAGTAATTAGTTCATGTCTTTATTAAAGAGATTCTCTGGAAAAGTTCAAATTTAGCTATGTCATAAGTAGCCAACTGGAGGACTTATCTTTCCGAAGAGAAGCAAGCCAATAAAATTATTCAAGATTATCAGCAGGCACAATTTCTAGATGTAAATTCCATCTCCAACCAAATCCTTCTGAGCACAATCTCAATGGCAACAATAAAGCAGGTCTCACTCCAGAGAATGTTACCCCTGTTGTATTTCAACGTTTAGACAGGGTCTTCTGTTTGTTTCTTTGATTTTATGGAAAGAGCTTTTCAACTTTTTAAACTTGTTTGTTTCTTTCAAATAGAAAAACACTAGGTTTTCAAAGGAAATTATACCAACCTAATTACTTTTAACAAATTCAAATTCTGATTGCGCATATAGATATATAATGTGCTTTGAAAAATTTTCTGTTCTGTTTTAGAAAGTACTAATATCAGAAATATATTTTAGTGTGCTATTTCTGAGACATTCGTTTTTTAAGAAATCAGTAAAAACATTGGATTATAATAGAAATGGCAAAATTTCCCCCATTCAGTTACATATACATGTAAAAATTTAAATCACCATGAAGCATTTATATCATCATTTTAAATAGATTTCCCTATATTATCAATACTTACATGCATCAGTTCATATTTAAAATGGCACAAATATTCTGAATGGATAAAATTTCTTATAAAAGGCATTCATTCCCACAAGCTGCTGAGCAATTATATATAATAGTTTTATGTATAATTGTTTCTCTTACAGTTATCATGTAAATTGATCATCCTAATCACAATGCAAGTTTACATATGTTTTTGTTATTGTTATTATTTTATTGTATTTTATTTTGTTTTTCCAAGATGATAGCAAATTGGAGTCAGTGTTAGCAAGACTCTCCCACTTGGAAAGACAAAATAGTGTATAGTCATTCACACTGTGAACTCTATTTCCAAGAAGAAATGCAGAAACTTAACAGGAAAACGGAAATCCACCAATTCTCTGAAAGAAGCTGCATGCTGCAGCCTACATTGTAAGGTAGGCAAAAAACTGTTTTAACTTCCCAGAATGTGAGAGGGAAAGAGAGTGCTTCGGGATATACCCTCCCACCAGGAAACCTGGAAATCCAGCCCTCAGGAAAAGCCTGAACGCTACACAGAGCTGGTACTGATTTAGGGAGCAGTGAGGAATGGGAAGAGCCTTGTGTGGGACCTTGTGGAAGTCACCCAATTAACTCAGGCAACATTTGCAAGTTGAAAGAAGCTCCTACCTGAATTTTGTGAAATAGCTATTTCCCAGGGAGGCTTCTGGTCTGCGGCAGTCTTAGTTCTGAATATAGACGTCCTGGAATTTAGCTCACTGCTGTTAGCAGAAATCTACAGGTGTGAGAACTACCTTGCCAAGTGCATGGGATCTGGGTGGGGCTTACTGATGCCTGCTGTGCCCCACTTCTTGCACAAACTATTCTGTGCAGTAGAGGCAGCTTTTCTCCACTCTGGTACATTACATCAGTGGTGAGGTAACTGTCCCTCAACTCCCACAGTGGCTGCAGATTGCCCCACATATGGAGAGTCAGAGCATGGATCTCTCTGACCCAGCCCACACCTGATTTTGCCCCTCTACCCACACTGATAGCCTAACACAAAAGACAGGAACTTTTGGGAGCTTTATGTCCCCACCCATCACCTGAGAAACCAGAGTGCCTCCTTTGGGTAACATAAGGCAAACACAAATCTCAACACTACTACTGCAGCTGATGCTCCTTTGCAAACACGACCTCCTAGCTGGAGGCCAACCAACACAGTCCATTACAGCACTTTCAGGTAGATAACACTGCACCCCGGAAGGAGAAAATTTGTACATGATATCAGCTATCACCATTGCCTGCACCAACATGACTAACCAGGAAGTCCTGATACTATCTACGTGACCAGTTTATTTTTGCTGCAACTGGCATTTGAGAAAGCCAACACACTAACACTATCCATAGCCAAAGAATCTCAACGAGTCTACATTACTCCCCTGCCGCCTGCATCAGAACTGGTGCTGGTACTTGATACTGGGAGACTTGAGGACAGGTCACATCTCTGAATCCCTTGCAGACATTTCCCAGCACCAGCCTAGAGTGTGGCAGACCCATTAGGCAGCTAGGCCCAGAAGAGCAACAACATTCACATTCTGGCTCTCAGGGACTCCTACTACTAGGGCAAGGGGTAGTACGTCACGTAAAGGGAACACTACGGCACAAAAGTATCTGGATAGCAGGCCTTCAGTCCCAGATTTTTCCACTTGTGGAATGTTTTTTTCAGCAGAGGCACAGTTGCAGTAATGGGCTCAGCAGGGAAAGTCTGCAGTTCTACTCCAACAGTCAGGAAGCCCTGGTGCTCATGAAGCATCTTGGAGAAGAGGAAATATTTCCCCCCTTTTCCACCACTGAAGACATAGCTGGGGCTTTTCTCTCAGGAGAGTGGCATGGGTGCACATATAGACAGCTTTTCTGAAACACTTCAGGGTGATCCACATAGGAGGGGCACCCTCCAGGTGCAAGCTTGCAGGAGATGTACAGTCACCATTCGTCTCTACTTGGAGCATCAACATTCCTGCATAATAAAAGAGATGCCTGTCTGATCTGAATACCCAGAACACTGGGTCAAGAGTATGTGTGGGAGGTGGATTGCTTTCCTGCTGTCCTGGCAGGGGAGTTGAGATGGCTCCAGTCCTTTCCTCTGACAAGAACTCAGTGTGACTCACTGAGAGCTCCCCCAGCCATCTCTGTCAAGGCTAGGACCCCTGCCCACCATTGGGTATTGCATTCACCAACCTGCTTTAGTCATAGACAGTTTTTAGCTAAGGACGCCTCCCATACAGGCCAGAAACCTGAGTGATTCAACCCAGTAAATAAAATACTGGGAAAAATAAATAAATAAATAAATAAATAAATAAATAAATAAATAAAGCGACAGCATTCACTGTAGTCTGGCTCAGTAAATAAATTACTTGGGAATATTCAACCCAGTAAATAAAATATTCAACCTAGTAAATAAAATAGTGGGGAAAAATAAATAAATAAAAGTGCAAACCATAGGGAATGAGTTTCAAGAGATCTCTGCCATTCCAACTCTATAGGAGACTGAACTTCTCACACATCAAGCATGTTTCCACTACAACCAGCATCTGAGAAAGCAATCATATAAAGACTCTCTGTAACCATGGAACTCATATAAAACCATCATCCTGAAAGCATTAAGAGCTTAATTATACTACAATAAACTATAAACATTAAAGTCATATGCTTAAGGGGAAAAAGGGCAATTTTGAAATAAACACAGTGAAATAAGAAATAAAATTAAGAAAAAATAGAAGAAATATTCTACCCAAATCAGAAGGAACCAGAAAAGTAATTCTGGTAATATGACAAAAGAGGATTCTATAACACCCTCCAAAAATCACACTAGCCCTCTGGCAATGGATTCAAATCAAGATGAAATATTTGAAATACCAGATAAAGAATCCCCAAAGGTTGATTATTAAGCTACTCAACAAGACACCATAGAAAGGTAAAAACCAACATAAAGAAAGTAAAACAAGCAAACAAAAAATAATTCAGGCGTGAATAACAAGATTTCTAAAGAGAATGATATCTTAAGGAATATCAATCAGAAGTTCTGGAAATGTAAGACATATTCAGGGAATTAAAAAATACAGTGGAAAGAAGTTTCAACAATAGACTAGAACAAGTAGAAGAATGACTTTCAGAGCTTGAAGACAAGGCTTACAAATTAATGCAATCAGAGAAAAACAAAAGAAATAAGAATCAAAGGAAATAAACAAAGTCTCCATAATTACAGAATCATCTAAAATGACCAAACCAAAGAATAATTGGTGTTCCTAAGGGAGAAGGGAAAGCTAAAAGTGTGAAAAACATTTTTGAGGTAATAATTGAGAAACTCTTCCATGGCCTTGCTGGAGACTGATATTCAAACAGAAGAAGCTCAAAGAACTCCTGGGAGATTTATTGCAAAAAGTCATCACCAAGGCATATATTCATTAAGCTATCTAAAATCAATATGAAAGAAAGAACTCCAAGAGCAGTAAAACAAAAGCATCAGGTAACCTATAAAGGAAAACCCATCATACTAACAGGAGACTTCTCAACAGAAACTTTATAAGCCAGAAGGAAATAGGGTCCTATCTTTAGCTTCCTTAAACAGAATAACTGTCAGCCAATAATCTTGTATCCAGCAAAACAAAGTTTCTTAAATGAAGGAGAAATAAAATCATTTCCAGTCAAACAAATGCTGAGGAAATTTGTTACTATCAGGCCAGTTGTACAAGAAATGTTAAAAGAAGTCCAAAACCTTGAAACAAAACTTGATATGTACCAAAATAAAACCTCTTGAAAGCATAAAACTGAAAAAGCCTATAAAACAATAACAAAACAACAAAAAGCCAAGTATCTAGGTGATTAGTCTGATTTCATACTGCTATAAAGAACTGCCCAAGACTGGGCAATTTATAAGGGAGAGAAATTTAATTGACTCACAGTTCAGCACAGCTGGGGAAGCCATGGTAAATTTACAATCATGGCGAAGTTGAAGAGGGAGCAAGGCACCATCTTCACAAGGTGGTAGGAAGAAGTGCTGAGTGAAGGGGGAAGGGCCCCTTATAAAACCATCAGATCTCATGGGAACTCACTATCATGAGAACAGCATGAGGGAAACTGCCCCAATGAGCAGTTACTTCCACCTGGTCTCTACCTTGACATTTGGGGATTATGGGGATTATAATTCAAATGAGATTTGGGTGGGGACACAAAGCCTAACCATATAATTCTGCCCCTGGCCCCTCCCAAATCTCATGCCCTTTCATGTTTCAAAACCAATCATGCCTTCCCAAAGTCTTCATTAATTCCAGTATTAACACAAAAGTCCAAGACCAAAGTCTCATCTAAGATAAGGCAAGTCTCTTCTGTCTATGAGCCTGTAAAATCAAAAGAAAGTTAGTGACTTCCTAGTCACTAGGAAGTCTAAGTGGTACAGGCATTGGATAAATGCAGTCATTCCAAATGGGAGAAATTGGCCAAAACAAAGGGGCTACAGGCCCCATGGACCAAAATCCAGCAGGGGAGTCAAATATTAAAGCTCTGAAATGATCTTCTTTGACTCCATGTCTCATATCCAGGTTACACTGATGCAAGAAGTGGGCTCCTACCATCTTGGGCAGCCCTGACCCTGTGGCTTTGCAGAGTACAGCCCCCATCCCTGCTTCTCTTATGGGCTGGCATTGAGTGTCTGTGGCTTTTCCAGGCACATGGTGCAAGCTGTTGGTAGATCTACCATTCTGGGGTCTAGAGGATGGTGGCCCTCTTCTCACAGCTCCACTAAGCAGTGCCCTAGAGGGGACTCTGTGTGTGGGCTCTGGCCCCACATTTCCCTTCTACAATGCACTAGCAGAGTTTCTGCATGAGGACTCCACCTCTGCACCAGACTTCTTCCTGGACATCCAGGCATTTCCATACACACTCTGAAATCTAGGCAGTGGTTCCCTAACCTCATTTCTTGACCTCTGCACACCCACAGGTCCAACACCATGTGAAAGCTCTCAAGGCTTGGGGCTTTCACCCTCTGAAGCAACAACCTGAGCTGTACTTTGGCTCCTTTTAGCCACAGCTGAAGTGGCTGGGACACAGGGCACCAATTCCCAAAGCTGCGCACAACATGGGGACCCTGGACCTGACCCAGAATGCCATTTTTTCCTTCTAGATCTCTGGGCCTGTGATGGGAGGGGCTGCAATGAAGGTGTCTCACATGTCCTGGAGACATTTTCCCATCGTCTTGGTGATTAACACTTGGCTCCTTTTTACGTATGCATATTTATGTGCCAGGCCTGAATTTCTTCCCAGAAAATGTGTTTTGTTTTTGACTGCATTGTCAGGCTGCAAATTTTTCAATCTTTTATGCTCTGCTTCCCTTTTAAACATAAGTTCCTATTTCAGATTATTTCTATCAAGTTCAAAGCTCCACAGATAGCAAGGCCTGGAGCAAAATGCCACCAGTCTCTTTGCTAAAGCACAGCAAGAGTTACCTCTTCTTCACCCAAAACCACCTCAGTCTGGACTTCGTTACTCATATCACTATCAGCATTCTGGTCAAAACCATTCAACAAGACTCTAGGAAGTTCCAAACCTTCCACATCTTCCTGTCTTTTTTTAAGCCCTCCAAGCTGTTCCATTCTCTGTCTGTTACTCAGTTCCAAAGTTGCTTCCACATTTTTGTGTATTTCTATAGCAGCACCCTACTCCCTGTAGTATCAATTTATTGTATTTGTCCATGTTAATACTGCTATAAACAACTGCCTGCGACTGGGTAATTTATAAAGAAAATAGATTTAATTGACCACTGTTCATCTTGGCTGGAGAGGATTCAGAAAACTTACAATCAAGACAAAAAGAAAAGAGGAAGCAAGACACCTTTTTTTACGAGGCAAAAGAAAGGAGAAGTGTAGAGAAAAAAGAGAAGAGCCCCTTAGAAAACCATCAGATCTCCATGAGCACTCACTAGGTATTACAAGAACAGAATGGGGGAAGCTGCCCCATGATTCAATTACCTCCACCTTGCATCTCCCCTGACATTTGGGGATTATGTGGATTATAACTCAAGATGAGATATGTGTGGGAACACAAAACCTAACCATATCACTAGGTAATAATTAATATAATGTATATGACAATTGCTCCACTTAAATAATATAGATTGGCAGAATGGATAAAAGAAACAAAATCAAATATCTGCTGTCTTCAAGATACCTAAAATGTAAGAATTCATATAAACTCAAGATAAAGGGGTGGAAGATATTCCATGGAAATAAAAATAAAAACCAAAAACAGGCAGTAGTAGCTATTCTTGTATCAGATAAAACAGA
Organism: Homo sapiens; assembly: GCF_000001405.40. NCBI lineage: Eukaryota > Metazoa > Chordata > Mammalia > Primates > Hominidae > Homo > Homo sapiens. The sequence goes on from NC_000024.10 coordinate 3,815,627, forward strand.
CTTTAAAGCAACAGCAATAATAAAAGACAAAGGGGGTCATTATATAATGATAAAAGGATCATTCCAACAAGAAGACATTATAATTCTAATTATATATATACCTAACATTGAAGAACCCAGATTCATAAAACAATTACTAGGGAAGAGCAAGATGGCTGACTAGATGCACACAAGTGGAACAGCTCCCATGGAGGGACTGAGACTGCTGGCATGCTTTTAAAAGATATTTAGAGGGAAGGTGCTGAGAGTGGGCAGAGAAAAGACACAGAAGCTAGGCTGAAGGGGAAGAAAACTGGGAACCCCTCATTGGTTACTGTGCACAGAGACTCATTTTTTAACCACAACAACTCCAGCAGAATGGAGGAGTTTACCTGGCAAGGAGCAACCCACTCTCAAAACAGAACTTTGGGACCCCAAAAGAAGGGGACCCATTGACCACAGCAGACACTTAAGGTGGCAGGGAAGGCTGCTCATGTAAGTGGTGGGGCAGCAAGCTAGATGATGTGAAGCCTATAGGGTTTGGTGTGGTAGCATCTCTAGTGGAGCATGATCAGAGATGGCCATTGCTCTAGGCTTGTCTTGCTCCCATAAGAGATGTTAGTCCTAGGGGAACTGTCAGACCTTGTCTTTGCAGGGCAGTCTTGCACTAAGATGGGGCTGGCCCAATCTGAGCACTCCTTGGTCTGCTGGCCTCTCCCAGGGCCACGGCCTGGCCATGCCTGCTTAACAGGGAAGTCTTGGGTGACCTGGGGGCACACACCATAGCTTCTACAACAGTGGATTGTGCCTGATCAATAGAGAGCTCCAGCGAGGTGGCTTCTACATCCATGAACGAGCCCACATGTTCCCTCCTGATACTGCAGCTTCCCCAAAGCCCACAGCATCTCCCCACAGGTGTGTGTCTATATGGGAAGGTTTTGCTTTACTTGTCTTTCCAGCACGCAGAAGTGTAGTCCACCACCAGCACCCCCGCAACTAATCACCATCGCAGATACAGCCTTGGTGGGCACAGAGCCAGCAAACCCAGCCCCTGAATGTACCACACCCTTGTGCTAAAACTGCACAGAGAACAGTGGACCTTTTTACAACCTGAGTAATCACAACTGCTTGCAGGTCACAGAAAGGACACCCAGACCAGTGCCAGCCAGCACTCCAACCCAAACCAACACCACCTTCAGTGCAATGGTGCACACAGTCTCCAACAGGAGCCCCCTGCATCCCCCAGAGTTTTCTTGCATCTGCCACTGTGGTGAATGCCTGCAGGGAGGCAGGCACACCTGCATTTACTAGCACTCTACTGCAGGTGCTTCCACTCTCCGCACCTTCTGGTGCAGTGGACTCCATAACTCAAGGAGACAGAGAACAATGTCTGGAACTGATACAAGTCCCCCACTTCGAGCACGAAGTCCAGGAGTTGAGAGCTGATCCTTGGTCCCCCTAAAACCTCCAGGAAATGAACCCAGCTAGCTGAATCCACCTTATGACACAATCAAACCCTCAAGGTCATCAAATAGCATAAAAGAGAAAAAATTCATAGGTTAGCAATCTCAAAGATAGAAGGTAAATAAACCCACAAACATGAGAAAGAAAAGTGTAAGAAAGTTGGAAACTCAAAAAGTTAGAGTGCCCTCTTTCTTGCAAATGACTGCATCATCTCTCTAGCAAGGGTTCAGAACTGGGCTGAGGCTGAGATGGCTGGAATGATACCCAATACAAGGAGCTAAAAACCATAATAAAACAATGCAAGATCTGACAGACAAAATAGCCAGTCTAGAGAAGAAAATAACTGACCTGATAGAGCCAAAAAACACACTACAAGAATTTCTTAATGCAATCACAAGAATTAATAGCAGAATAGACCAAGCAGAGGAAAGAATCTCTGAGTTCAAAGACTGGATTTCTGAAATAAGATCGGCAAACAAGAATAGGGAAAAAATAAATAAAAAGAAAGAACAAGACCTCCAAGGAATATAGAATTATGTAAAAAGAAAATAATCTGTAACTGATTGGTGTCCCAGAAAAAGATGGGGAAAATGGAACCAACTTGGAAAACATAGTCAGGATATCATCCATGAGGACTTTCCAAAACTCGCTAGAAAGGCCAACATTCAAATTCAGGAAATGCAGAGAACCCAAGTAAGATACTTCACAAAAAGATCATCCTCAAGACACATAATCATTAGATTCCCCAAGGGTGAAATTAAAGAAAAAATGTTAAAGACAGCTAGAAATAATAGTTAGGTCACCTACACAGGAAGCTCATCAGACTAACAGCAGACCTCGCAGCTGAAACACTGGAAGCCAGAAGAGATTGGGGGACAGTATTCAACATTCCAACCCAGAATTTCATGTTTGGCTGAACAAAGCTTCATAAACAAAGGAGAAATAAAATCCTTTTCGAACAAGCAAATGCTGAGGAAATTTGGTGCCCCCAGACTGACTTTACAACAGCTTTTGAAGGAACCACTAAATATGGGGAGGAAAGACCATTATCAGTCATTAAAAAAACACACTGAAGTACACAGACCATTGACACTATAAAGCAACCATATAAACAAGTCTGCAATATAACCAGTTAACATCATTATGACAGGATCAAATCAACACATATAAATACTAACTTTAAATGTAGATGGAATAAATGCTCCAATTAAAAGACTCAGAATGGCAATCCGGATAAAGAACCAAGACCCATTGGTACAATTTCTTCAAGAGACCCATCTCACATGCACTGACACAGAGAGGCTCAAAATAAAGGAATAAAGAAAAATCTACCAAGCAAATGGAAAACAGAAAAAAAGCATAATTTGTAATCCTAGTTTCTGACAAAATAGATTTTATATCAACAAAAATAAAAAAAGACAAGGGAATTGCATAGTGACAAAGGGTTAAATTCAACAAGAAGAGTTAACTATTCTAAATATGTATGGACTGAAACACAGGAACACTCAGATTCATAAAGCAATTTATTAGAGACCTACAAAGAGACTTAGACTCTCACACAGTAATAGTGGGAGACTTTAACAACCCAGTGACAATATTAAACAGATAATCAAGACAGAATATTAATAAAGATATTCAGAACCTAAACTAGATCAAATGAACCTTATAGGTAACTATGAAACTTTCCACCTAAAAACAACAGAATATAAAATCTTCTCATTGCCACATAGAACATACTCTACAATCTATCATATAATTGGAGTTAAAACACTCCTCAGCAAATATAAAAGAGCTATAATCCTAACAAACAGTCTTTTAGACCACAGCACCATTAAATCAGAAATCAAGACTAAGAAATTTACTCAAATCCCTACAATTACATGGAAATTGAATAACCTGCTCCTAAATAACTTTTAGATAAATAATAAAATTAAGGCAGAAATCTTTGAAATGATGAAGACCAAGCTACACCATACCAAAATCTCTGGGACAAAGCAAATGCAGTGGTGAGAGGGAAATTTATAGTGTTAAATCTCCACATCAAAAAGTTAGAACGATTTCACATTAACAACCTAACATCACAATTAAAAGAGCTAGAGAGCCAAGAGCAAACAAATCTCAATGCTAGTGGAAGACAAGAAATAACTGAAATCAGAGCTGAACTGAAAGAGCCAGAGACACACAGAAATTCCAAAGATCAATGAATCCACGTGCTGTTTTTTTTAAATAAAATATATAGACTGCTAGTTAGAGTAATAAAGAACAAAAAAGAGAGAAGATTCAAATAAACACAATCAGAAATAACAAGGGACATATTACCACTGACCTCACAGAAATACAACCATCAAAGAATATTATGAAGACCTCTATATGCATAAACTAGAAAATACAGACAAAATAGATGAATTACTGGATGTATACACCCTCCCAGGAATGAACCAGTAAGAAAATGAATTCCTGAGAAGACCAATAACAAGCTCTAAAATTGAGTCAGTAATAAATAGCCTCCCAACCAAAGAAAAGCCCAGGACCAGATGAATTCACAGCCGAAATTTGCCAGAAGTATAAAGAAGAGCTGATACCATTATGGCTGTAAATATTCCAAAACTATGAGGAGAAGGGACTCCTCTCTAAGTCATTCCATGAAGCCAGCATTATTCTGATATCAAAACCTGGCAGAGATACAACCAAAAAGAAAACTTCAGGCTAATATCCTTGATGAATATAGATACAATAATTCTCAACAAAATACTAGCAAACTGAAACGATCAACACATCAAGATGCTTATTCACCACAATCAAGTAGGCTTTATCCCTGGGATTGAAGATTTATTCAACATATGCCAATCAATTTATGTGATTTAGCACATAAACAGAACTAAATACAAAAAACACATGATTATTTCCCTAGATGCCAAAAAGGCTTTCAACAAAATTCAACATTGATTTATGTTAAAAACTTACAATGAAGTAGTTATGGAAGAAACATACCTAAAAATTGTAAGAGCCATGTATGACAAACCCATAGCTAATATCATACTGAATGGGCAAAAACTTCAAGCATTTCCCTTGAAAACAGGCACAAGACAAGGATGCCCTCTCATCACTCCTATTAAACATGGTATTGGAAAGGCTTACTCAGGGCAATCAGGCAAATGAAAGAAACTATCCCTGTTTGCAGATGACATAATCCTATATGTAGAAAACCCCATAGACTCAGCCCAAAAGCTTCTTAAGCTGATAAACAACTTCAGCAAAGTCACAAGATACAAAATTACTGTGCAAAAATTACTAGCATTCCTATACATTAACAACAGTCAAGTCAAGATCCAAATCAGGAATCTACTCCCATTTACGATTGTTACAAAGAGAATAAAACACCTAGGAATACAACTAATTTGGGGGGTGAAAGATCTCTACAAGTAGAACTATAAAACACAGCTCCTTGAAGTCAGAGATGCTACAAATAAATGGAAAAACATTCCATGCTTATGAATAGGAAGAATCAATATTGTAAAAATGAACATACGGCCCAAAGCAATGTATAAATTCAACAATATTCCTATCAAACAACTCATGACATTCTTCTCAGAACTAGAAAACACCATTTAAAAATTCATATAGAACTACAAAAAAGCCAGAATAGCCAAGGTAATCCTAAACAAACCAACAAAAAATCCCCAAAAAACAAAAAACAAAGCTGGAGGCATCACGCTACCCAACTTCAAACTATACTACAGGGCTACAGTAACCTAAACAACATGGGACTGGTACAAAAACAGAAACACAGACCAATGGAACAGAATAAAGAACCTGGAAATAATATTGCACACTTACAACTATGTGATCTTTGACAAACCTAACAAAAACGAGCAATGGGAAAGGGATTCTGTATTCAATAAATGGTGCTGGGATAACTGGCTAGCCATATGCAGAAGATTAAAACTGGACCCCTTCCTTACACCATATACAAAAATTAACTCAAAATGGATTAAATACTTAAATGAAAAACCCAAATCTATAAAAATCCTGGAAGATAACTTAGGCAGTACCATTCAAAACATGGGCACAGGTAAAGATTTTACAACGAAGTCTTCAAAAGCAATTGCAAGAAAAGCAAAAATTGACAAATGGGATCTGATTAAACTAAAGAGCTTCTGCACAGCAAAATAAACCATCAGCAGAGTAAGCAGACAACCTACAGAAAGGTAGAAAATTTTTGCAAACTATGCATCTCACAAAGGTCTAATATCCAGCATCTATAAGGAAGTTAAACAAATTTACAAAGAAAAACCTCATTAAAATAGTGGGCACAGTACATGAAAGATACTTTGGAAGAGAAGACATACATGTGGCCAGCAATCACATGAAAAAAAGCTCAACATCACTGATTATTAGTGAAATGCAAATCAAAACCAAAATGAGATAGCATGTCACACCAGTCACAATGGCAATTATTAAAAAGTCAAAACATAACAAATGCTGGCATACATATACAGTGTTGTTGGGAGTGTAAATTTGTTCAACCATTGTGGAAGACAGTGTGGCAATTCCTCAAAGACCTAAAGACAGAAATACCATTCAACCCAGCAATCTCATTACTGTCTATATACTCAAAGGAGTATAAATCTTTCTATTATAAAGACACATGCACACATATGTTCATTGTAGCACTATTCACAGTAGCAAAGACATGAAATAAACTTAAATGCTCATCAGTAATAAACAGTATAAAAATAATGTGGTACATAGACACCATAGAATATTATTCAGCCATAAAAGAATGAGATCATGTCCTTTGCAGGGACATGGATGGAGTTGGAGGCAATTATCCTTAGGAAACAAATGCAGGAACAGAAGACCAAATGCCACATGTTCTCATTTCGAAGTGAGTGCTAAACTATGACAACATGTGGACACATAGAGGGGAAAAAAAACACAACGGGGTTTTTCAGAGGGTGGAATGTGGAAGGAGGGAGAAGATCAGAAAAATAACTAATGGATACTAGGCTTAATACCTGGGTGATAAAATAATCTGCACAACAATCCCCTATGACAAAAGTTTACCTATGTAACAAACTAGCACTTGTACCCCGGAATTAAAATAAAAGGTAAAAAAATACTACAAGACCTAAAAAATGAGGTAGATAGCAACAAAATAGTAGTGGAAGACTTCAATAATCCACTGGTAGCAGTAGACAGATTGAGACAGTCAACAATAACAACAACAATGACAACAACAAAATGTACTTAAAACTACACTCTACAATAAATGAACTTAACAGATGTTTATGGATCATTCTACCTGAGAACTGCAGAGTATACATTCTTCTCACCAGCACTTGGAGCACTCTTCAATATAATCCATATAATTGACCACAAAACAAGTCTCAATAAATTAAAAACATCAAAATCATATCAAGTATATTTTCAGACCACAGTGAAATAAAACTGGAAATCAACTTCAAAAGGAACTCCTCAAACTTTACACATATATGAAAATTAAACAATTTGTTTCTGAATGATTTTTGAGATAAAAAAATTAAGATGAAAAATTTTTTAAGTCTTTGAAATGAATGATAATAATGATACTGATTACCAAAACCTCTGGGATCCAGCAAAAGCAGTGCTAAGAGGAAAGTTTGACCACAAATTGACAATCTAGTGTCATGCCTCAAGGAACAAGGCAAGAAAGAACAACCTAACTCAAAGCAAGCGAAGGAAAGGAATAACAAAGATCAGAGCAGAAGTAAATGAAATTCAAACAAACATAAAATACAAAAGATCAATGAAACAAAAAGCTATTGTTCCTTGAAAAGATAAACAAAATTGATAGACCATTAGCAAAATTAGCTAAGAAAAGAAGAAATTCATATAAACTGAATTATAAGTGAAACTGGGGACATTCCAAATGACACCACAAAAACACAAAATATCATTTGAGACTGCTATGAACACTATTATATACACAAACTGGAAAACTTAGAGGAAATGGATAAATTCCTGGAAACGTGTATTAGTCTGTTCTCACACTGCTGACAAAGACATACCCAAGACTGGGTAATTTATATAGGAAAGAGGTTAAATTGATTCACAGTTCCACATGGCTGTGGAAGCCTTACAATCATGGTGAAAGGTGAATGAGGACTAAAGTCATGTCTTACACGGTGTCAGGCAAGAGAGCATGTGCAGGGGAACTCCCCTTTATAAAACCATCAAATCCTGTGAGACTTATTCACTATCATGAGAACAGCATGGGAAAAACCCACCCCAATGGTTCAATTACCTCCTATTGGGTCCATCCCATAACACATGTGAATTCTTACAATTCAAGATGATATTTGGCTGGGGACACAGAGCTAAACTACATCACTCCACCCCTGGCCCCTCCCAAATCTCATGTCCTCATATTTCAAAACCAGTCATGCCTTCCCAACACTTCCCCCATTGTCTTAACTCATTTCAGCACTAACTCAAAAGGAACTAACTCCACAGTCTAAAGTCTCATCTGAAACAAGGCAAGTATCTTCCACCTAGGGGACTGTAAAATCTAAAGCACATTAGTTATTTTCTAGATACAATGGGGGGTACAGGCATTGGGTAGATACATTCATTCCAAATGGGAGAAATGGGCCAAAACAAAGGGGCTACAGGCCCCATGCAAGTCCAAAATCTAGCAGGGCTGCCAAATCTTAAAGCTATGAAATGTTCTCCTTTGACTCCATGTCTCACATCTAGGTCACACTGATCCAAGAGGTGGGTTCACATGGTCTTGTCAGTTCTTCCCTGTGGCTTTGTAGTAGGGAACAGTCCCCATCCCAGCTGCTTTCCTGGGCTGGTATTGAGTGTCTGAAGCTTTTCCAGGCACACAGTGCAAGCTGTAGGTGGATCTACCATTCTGGGGTCTGGAAGATGGTGGCCCTCTTTTCACAGCTCCATGAGGCAGTGCCCCAGTGGGGACTCTGTGTGGGAGCTTCAAATCCACATTTCCCTTACACACTGCCCTAGCAGAGGTTCTCCATGAGGGCCCCACCCCTAGAGCAAACTTCTGCCCAGACATCCAGGTGTTTCCATACATCCTGTAAAATCTAGGCAGAGGTTCCCAAACCTCAGTTCTTGATTTCTGTGCACCTGCAGGCCCAACACCATGGGGAAGCCACCAAGGCTTGTGGCTTGCACCCTCTGAAGCAATAGCCTGAGCTGTACATTGGCCATATTTAGCCACAGTTGGAGATGCTGAAATGCAGGAGACCAAGTCCCTAGGGTGTACAAAGCATGGGGTCCCCAGGCCTGGCCCACAAAACCATTTTTTCTTCCTAGGCCTCCAGGTCTGTGATGGGAGGGGCTGCCATGAAGGTCTCTGACATGCCCTGAAGATATTTTCCTCATCATATTGGTGATTAACATTTGGCTCCTCATTACTTATGCAAATTTCAGCAGCTGGCTTGAATTTCTCCTCAGAAAATGGGTTTTTATTTTCTATCTTATTGTGAGGCTGCAAATTTTCTAAACGTTTATGCTCTGCTTCTCTTTTAAACATAAGTTTCAATTCCAAACCATATGTTTGTGAATACATAAAATTTATGATTTTAACAGCATCCAAGTCACCTCTTGAACTCTTTGTTTCTTAGAAATTTCTTCCACCAGATACTCTAAATCATGTCTCTCAAGTTCAAAGTTCTGCAGATTTCTAGGGAAGGGGCAAAATGCCACCAACCTCTGTGCTAAAACATAGCAAGAGTCACCTTTACTACAGTTCCCAACAACTTCTTCACCTCCATCTGAGACCACCTCATCCTGGACTTCATTGTCCATATCATTATCAGCATTTTGGTCAAAGCCATTCAACAAGTCTCTAGGAAGTTTCAAACCTTCCCACATCTGCCTGTATTTTTCTGAGCACTCCAAGCTGTTCCAACATTTGCCTGTTAACCAGTTCCAAAGTCACTTCCACTTTTTGGGTATCTTTACAGCAGCGTCTTACTACTCAGTACAAATTTACTGTATTAGTCTGTTCTCAGGCTGCTAATAAATACATATCCATGATTGGGTAATTGATTGATAAAGGAATGAGGTTTAATTGATTTACAGTTGCACATGACTGGGGTGGCCTCACAATTATGGCAGGAGGCAAATGAGGAGCAAAGTCGTGTCTTACATACCAGCAGGCAAGAGAGCATGTTTAGAACTCCCTTTTATAAAACCATCAGATCTTGTGAGAATTTTTACTATCACAAGAATAGCACGGGAAAAACACACCCCCACTATTGATTCAATTATCTGCCACTGGGTCTCTCCCACAACATGCGGGGATTATTACAATTCAAGGTGGGATTTGTGTGGCGACGCAGAGCCAAACCATATCAACATGTACCCCCCTAGATTATATCAGGAAGATATATAATCTCTTAATCTCTTAGAAGATTAATAACAAGCAGTGAGATTGAATCAGTAATAAAAAATTACCAACCAAAAAAGCCAAGGCCAGATGGAATTAAAGCTGAATCCTATCAGGTGTTCAAAGAGGAATTGGTATCAATCCTACTAAAACTATTCCAAAAGATTAAGAAAGATGGAATCCTTCCCAATTCATTCTATGAAGCCAGTATTACTCTGATACCAAAATCAGAAGAGGATATAACAAAATAAGAAAACTAGAAACCAACATCCTTGATGAACATACATGCAAATTCTCAACAAATTACTAGCTAGCCTAATCAAACAGCAAACCAAAAAGATAATATACAATCATCAGTGGGTTTCATCCCAGGGATGCAGGGGTGGTTTAACATACACAAGTCAATAAATGCAATACTCACATAAACAGAATTAAAAACAAAAACTATATGATAATCTCAACAGATACAGAATAAGCATTCAAAAAAATCCAGCATCCCTTTATAATAAAAATCCTCAACAAACTAGGCGTAGAAGGGACTCAACTTAATTAATAAAAGTCATATGTGACAAACCCACAGCCAACATACTGAATGTAGTGCAGTTGAAAGAATCCTTTCGAAAACTGGAACAAGACAAGGATGGCCACTTTTACTACTTCTATTCAACATAGTATTTGAAGTCCTAGCCAGAGAATTGAGGCAAGAGGTATAAATAAAAGGCATCCAAATTGGAAAAAAGAAAGTCAAACTATCACTATTAGCCAATGATATAATTATATACCTAGAAAACTTTATAGCTTCCTCCAGAAGACTCCTAGATTTCAAAAACGAATTCAGCAAAGTCTCAGGTTACAAAGTCAATGTACACAAATCAGTAGCACTTCTATACACCAACAATGATCAAGCTGAAAATAAAATGAAGAACTCAATCCCTTTTACAATAGGTGCAAAAAATAAAATAAAATATCTAAGAATATATTTAACCAAGAAGGTAAAAATCTCTATAAGGAGAACTACAAAACGTTGCTGAAAGAAGCCATAGATGACTGAAACAAATGGAAACACTTCCCATGCTCATTGATTGGAAAAATCAATATTGTGAAAATGACCCTACTGCCCAAAGCCATCTAGAGATTCAATGCAATTCTATCAAAATACCAACATCATTTTTCATAGAACTAGAAAAAAACAATAATCCTTAAAATTCATATGGGACCAAAAAAGAGCTCAAGTAACAAAGGCAAATCCTTAGCAAAAAGAACAAATACAGAGGCATCTCATTACCAAATTTCAAGTAATACTACAAGGCTGTAGTTACCAAAACAGCATGGTACTGGTATAAAAGTAGACATATAGACCAATGAACAAGAATCGATAACCCAGAAATAAAACTAAATACAACCAACTGATGTTCAACAAAGCATACAATAACATAATTTGGGGAAGAGACACCCTATTAATAAATGGTGCTGGGAAAACTGGCTAGCCACATGCAGAAGACTGAAACTGTATTCCTATCTCTCACCTTATAGAAAAATCAACTCAAGATGGATTAAAGACTTAAATCCAACACCTAAAACCATACAAAATTTTAGAAGATAACATTGTAAAAACTCTTCTGGACAGTGCCCTAGAAAAATAATTTATGTCTTAAACCCCAAAAGACAATGCAACAGCAATAAAAACAAAAATAAATGGGACCTGATTGAATTTAAAAGCTTCTGCGTGGCAAAACAAATAATCAGCAAACAGACAAAGAATGGGAGAAAACATTTTCAAACTGCATCCAGCAAAGGACTAGTATCTAAAATCTACAAGGAACTTAAACAAGTCAGCAAGAAAAAGTCAAATAATCCTATCAACAACTGGACAAATGACATAAATAGGCATTTCTCAAAAGAAGATATGCAAATGATGAAAAAATGTATGAGAAAAATACTCAACATCACTAATCACCAGAGAAATACAAATTAAAACCACAATGAGGTACCACCTTAGTTCTGAAAGAATGGCCATTATGAAAAATTCAAAAACAATAGATGTTGATATAGATGTGATGAAAGAGGAATGCTTATACACTGGTGGTGGGAATGTAAATTAGTGCAATCTGTATAGAAAACAGTGTGGAAATTCTTAAAGAACTTAAAGTAGATCTACCATTTGATCCTGCAATCCCGCTACTGGGTATCTACCCAAAGGAAAATAAGTCATTATCAAAAAAAAAAAAAACATGCATGTATATGTTTATTGCAGTCCAATTCACAATTGCAAAGATATGGAACCAACCTAAGTGGCCATCGATCAATGAGTGGATAAAAAAATGTGGTATATACGAACAATGAAATACTACTCAAATAAAAAGGAATAAAATAATGTCTTTTGCAGCAACTTGGATGGATCTGGAGGTCATTATTCTAAGTGAAGTACCTTAGAAATGGGAAACCAAAAACCTTATGTTCTCATTTATAAGTGGGAGCTAAATTATGAGTACATAAAAGCATACAGAGTGATATAACAGACTTTGGAGATTCAGAAGGGGGAAGGTAAAGGGCAGGTGTGAGATAAAAAAACTACATATTGGCTACAGAGTACACTATTCAGGTGATGGGTACATTAAATCTCAGAATTCAACACTATTTAATTCATCTGTGTAACCAAAAACACTTGTACCACAAAAGCTATTGAAATAAAAAAAATAAAAGAGCAAAATAAATAAATAAGTTAATTAATATTATCTTAAAGTGAAATAAACAGCGTGAATGCAAGGTACAGGTGAAGAAAGCAAAGTTTTAAGCATCAATGTAGAAAAATATAGCTCTGATTACTTTAATTTTAAGGTAGAGGGTGTTGATAATGAACTTAACCACAAGGAGGCAAGAAGGAGAATTTACAAAAAAGAAAAACAGAGTATGGGATAATAAGCCAAGGCAGAAATATTACAAGAGTGATTTACACATACTTAGTTTCAGGGGTCAGGGCAAGGAGAAGTGAAGTCAGCAAGATGTCATTCTTGTCCTTACCTCTTCTCTTTAAAGCTAGTAGAGGGAGAGTGATAGCCCCCTTCTGCTTTTGGCACTGGAACAGGAAAGCTACAGGAGGAACAATGTAAAATTCCAAATAAACTCTTCTGATTTTGAAATGTGGCTATATGCAGATAAAGTTACTATTCTCTGAATGAACAATTCAAATATCTAGGAGACTTGCATTTAGCAAGTACCTTAAGTGCTATCCTGATTTAATTTGTCATTCTTATTGTTATTACTATAATAAATCACTTGAAATGATTCTTGTATGTGGAGCAAGCAAGTATCCTTTATCCAACTTAAAAAGGATGGGAAGTTTATAATCAAAAGGATAAATGTTCTGAGTTGTAAGAAGAATCATTGTGAAAAAAAATAAGATTAAAAGAAAAAGAATGGATCAAAGTGTTCTTTACATATGCTGTTTTTATTCAACTGAAAATTAACGTATGTTGGGAAGATACCTTAAAGTCAGTTCTGTATATTTATCATCTGGCTTGTGTTTAATTAAATAAAAATCAGATTATCCCTTTTATTTTGAACTGCAAGATGTTCGTGTTGTCTCTAAAGTATTTGGCCGCTTCCCCAGAATGACAACTTTCATTTTGATATTTGTGGTGAAGGAGAACAAAAGAAAAATTGTCAGTCTCAAATGATGATTAAAAAAATTAAAATTATACCTGATAATGAGTAAAGTTTCCTAAGAGTCACAAGAAAATAAAGTTTGATACTGTCTTAAACAAATATCAGGAATTAACTAGGGCAACCAAGACCAGATACATAATTTGTGGAGCCCTGTGCAAAATGAAAATGTGGGGTCTCTTGTTAAAATTTTATTAAGAGTTTCAACACAGCAACAGCACAACATTAAGAAAAGCTCAGGGTCCTGATGATAAACACACAGATTGTATACTCACAAAGTCAATCCTGGGGGAAAAGTAGTCTTAATAAAGACTTCATTTTTAACCGTTTATTATTAAAGAATTATTTAATTATAGCACAGTAATTGCAAAGATGAAAGGTCTTATGTACCCTGGAGTAGTCCGTTCTCATGCTGTTAATAAAGACTTGCCTGAGACTGGGTAGTTTATAAAGGAAAGGGGTTTAATTGACTCACAGTTCAGCATGGCTAACTGTGAGGGAGTCCTCACAATCATGGTGGAAGGCAAAGGAAGAGCCAAGTCACATCTTACATAGCATCAGGCAAGAGAGCATGTGCAGGGGAACTGCCCTTTATAAAACCATCAGATCTAGTAACACTTTTTTACTATTATGAGAATAGCATGGGAAAAACCTCCCCCCTTGATTCAATTACCTTCCACCAGGTCACTCTCACAACACATGGGGATTATGAGAGCTACAATTCAAGATGAGATGTGGGTGGTGACAGAGCCAAATCATATCATAACCTTTACTCAGTTTCCTCCAAAGGTTATATCTTACAGAATTATAGCACACAATCAAAACCTGAATATTGACATTGGTACAACAAATTTGTATAGTTCTATACCATTTCCTTACATGTATAAGTTCAAGTAACCATCACTGCAAAAAAGACACGGAAATATTCCATTACCACAAAGGTCTATCTTGTGTTCCTCTTTGAAGTCACACCTTCCTCCCTGCTTACCATTGTCTCTAAGCCCTGACAACCACTGATTTCTTTTCCATGTTCATAATTTTTTCATTTCACAAATGGTATATGCATAGAATTATATTGCCTTAGTCAGTTGGAGCGGCTTTAATAAATTACTATAGTCTGGGTGACTTAAACAGCAAACATTTATTTCTCATGGTTCTGGAGCCTGGAAGTATGAGATCAGTATGCCAGCCTAAACAGGCTCTGATGAGGGCCTTCTTTCTGGCTAGAGAGAAATATTTCAAATATCTTTCTCTTTTTATAAGGGTGCTAATTTAATCATGAGGATTCCACCCTCATGACCTAATTAGCTCCCAAAGACCTCACCTTGAAATCTCATCACATTTAGGTTTAGGGTTTCAACATATACTTTTGGGGAGGGGCACAAACATTCAGTCCAAAGCACATATATTATGTAATCTTTCAAAATTTGTTTTTTTCACTCAGTGCAATTCTTTGAAAATTCATCAAAGTTTTGCAAATATCAATAGTCCATTTATATTACTGACTACTATTCTGTGTTATGGATATACTATCATTCTATGGTTTCTTTAGCAGTGAAGTCTAATTCAGAAGAACATCTGAATTTTTCCCAGTTTTTGGGCACTATAAATGAAGCTGCTATGAACAGGTTCTGTGTAGACACAAGTTATCATTTCTCTAGGGTACATTTTCAAGAGTGTGATTGCTGAACCATATGCTAAGTGAATGTTTAGTTATTCAAGAAACCACCATACAAATTTCCAGAGTGGCTGTGACATTTTACATTTCTACTAGCCATATATGAAAGATCTAGTTTCTTCACATATGAGGCAGCATTGGAGTGAGATCAATTTTGAGGGAAAGTGAGAAAACAGGGAATCCTGTATTTGGTAAATGAGTTGAGTTGTTTAAATGTGGTATCTAGAACTTTAAAATATTAGTCAAGAAAAGACAAGAGGGAAAAGCTTCATATAAAAGAAAAGATCACCAGAATAAGGAAAGTCTCAAAGGCACTTTACCACAAATTTTTCCTCTGAACTTTATAGGTATATTCACCCGTTCTATGGCTTTTAAACAGGGATAAGTAAAAGGCATAAGTTTCTGCATGGCTCTTGCATCATGAAATGCATTCTTTAATACCATTTTCACTTTGAATAAGTTTTTTGTAAAAACGTATTGTGTATTCTTATGGTTAATGATACTTGTCATTCATTTGAATTGCTGAGTCTAGAAATCTGACTGCATTCTATTATCCAACTGGTCACCAGATTTATCAGTTCTACCTCCATCATGTCTAGGTAATTATGGATCATTTCTATTGCCACAGCTTCTTAATTCTTCAAAGTTCCAAATGCTGAAGTCTATTTGCTCTACTCACACTGTTGCCAGAGTTGACTTTCTTAAGCATAAAACAATTTCTGCAATTTCTGTGCTTAAAAATATTTGCTGACTCCTGAATGTAAAGTCTTAACTCAATTACATGGAATTCAAAAGCTACACTAATTTGTTATAATTCTCAATCTTCTCTTTCTATTTCTAATATAACATTTTAAAAGAGTATAGTTGTAGATCATCAATGTTACAAATTCATGCTATAGTTCCCCTTGTTCTTTCTTTCCTCTGCTCTCTTTCTTTGAGGTCTTACTTTCATTTAATGCTTTCTTGAATTATATGCTCTTCATTGAAAGCTCCAGGTAAAATTAACAATCCCTTTCCCAGATATATGTTGATAGTCTATTCATCGTACTAACTACACCATAAAATTGTAAAATTGTTATATACATATAATTCCTCCAATAGATTATAAATGTCTTGAGAGTGCAGACTGTGCCTTACATCATTGTCCCCACTCCCAGTACTGGTGAAATACTTGGAATACAAATGCAGTAAATGGAGATTGAATTGCATCCTATCAGAGAATGGGAAAAGAGTATCAAGCAGTACTTCCAAAACTGCTAAAAAAAAAAAAAAATAAAATGGCAAAGAGTAAAAAGGCCAATTAAATATAATATTTTTCATTCTTAAGGAATAATGAAATATTAGAAAAAAATGTTATGTGAAAAATGCTCTTTCTAATTTCATTAATCTGATAATTGGCTCTTCACCTTCCTTTACCTAGTTAGATAAAGTCACAGACTTATTATTGTATAAAATAAGAAATACAGTTTTTAAAAACTGATATATTAATGGGGAAAATATAGTCCAATGTTTCTTTTGAAAGCTCAAATTATACATGTATTTAAATACTTCCCAGTTTTTATTTAATTAATTCATCAGTTAATGTATTCATTTCACAGATTGCTGTTGAATATCTTTAATATATCAAAACCTGCAAGGTGCTAGACATACAAGGTAAATACAAAGTCTCTATCAAAGAATTTAATAAGAGATTGGAGAAACAGACACTTAGAAACATTTACAAATCACCATGAATGGAACAATGTACGCTAGTGTTGTGGGAGAGGAAGTTTTGAAATACTTCCACAGAGAGGATGATACTCAAAGTGGGTATTGAAGAATGCGAAGAGTTTCTGGGGATAAATGAGAACATAATAAGTAGAAGGAAGAACATAAGAAGCATGGCATTGCAATGGTGACTGACTTAGGGCTATACTGTCTTAGACTTGGAAGTGTAGCTAGGGAAGTAGGATTATTGTTGTGAATATGCATCCTTATATGGCATATTTTCCTTATATTTGAGAATTAAAATTGTTTCTTTGAATTTCAATAACAGCCTATTCTTACAAACATGTTTTGTTTTTCTATCATTGATTAGAGTCATTAATAAAATTGCCTACAGCTTTAAAATAATTGTCTATTTATTTTAGCTCAACAGCTTCGTATAAAATGGTAAAGACTAAGGTAGCATCAAGTATGGATACTTACCAAGATATTGTTTTATATGGGGAAAATGTAACATAACCCAAGTTCAGGAATAGGAACAGTGATGCATTCTCATTTAGATGCAATTTAATGACGCAGTTTCTCACTAAGCTGATTATTCACTGCATTTTCCCCTACAATTAATCTGGCATACTAAGTTAAGGCACATTATACGAGGTTACATGCCAACACTTTTGGAATTCTTAAAACACTGCAAAGTAATCTCAGGGAAGAATTTTAGCTCCCGGTACATATAAAATAAAAGTTAAGGGAATAATTATTTTGCATCTATGAAGTACCGTGAAGAGTTAGCTTGGGCCATATGTGTCAACTGTTTGCTAAAACCAGATTTCTCTTTCACATGTAACTTATTTAACTCTTTAGAAGTGAATACTTGGAAGGACACAAGCAAATAATTCACAAGTGATGAAACTAAAATAGTCCCTATATAAAATGTCAATATCTAAAGAAATATATATTAAAAGAAGAAAAGGAACAATTCCTTCAATTACTAAATTATCATGTTTTGTTCATAATAATAATAGCCAAAGCTGGTTGATGTAAGGAAACCAAGTGATACTCTTGTACAGTTTTGGTAAGAACATATTTGTGCAGTCTTTCCGGAAGGAAATTTAGTAACTGCCTTAAAAACGTACTTTTCTTTTACAAGCTATTCAATGTTAAGATTATATTCCGAAAAAATAATCAGAGAAGTGTTTACAGACAAGTATACAAAACTATATACTGTAGTATTTTTCACAGCATAGAAAGTTAAAGACACTTTACATGTTCAACAACTGTGGATTAATTACATCCATAATGACAAAGAGATAACGTACAGTATTTAGAATTGTAGTTTTTAAGAAACAATGTGAAAATGAGAAAAAATACTAGCAACAGTAAATATAACATGAATAATAAACAGCAAACACCATTTTAAATGTGAATGGTAAAATTATGGAAAGATTACTAGTTATAGCTCTGCTTATTTTATTCTACTTTAGTAATTACCTGAGTTTATTAGAGTTCATTAGATACTTTAGAGTTGATGTGCATTACTTTGGTACATAGTAAACATACTATAAATATTTAGAAAACCAACTGATTTATTGTTTTGGTAGTATTTTATTTGCTGAACTATAGGCGTAGGGAAATCTACATGTTGTTGTGGAATCTTGTTATAGTACCTTATGTGACTGCTTAGTAAGTTCTTTGTGCCCATTTGAAATCAATAACTACAGTTGAAGATACTCTGTATGGATTTTCCTTATTAGATAAGTATCTGCATACAGGGGAAATTTTGCAATTTATTTTTTATCTAATGTACATATTTTAAATTCTGCTTGCCTTTTCTCCTTTTATCAGAACATGAAAATGAAAAGAAACATATGATCTGACAGCTTCTCCATAAGAGGAAAATCCTTAATAGCTAAATACTTGTTCAAAGTATTCCTTGAAGCAATCTCCATTTTTTTTCACGGTTATGGTCATCAAGATAAAAAACAAAACAAAACAGAAAACAAGTTATTTTGCCTTTAAGTCTCCAAAACTGGCTGTATCCTCAACTTCTGTTTGCATATGCAGTTACAGTCTCAGAATTTCTCCAACTTAAAGCAAAACGTAGAAGCAAGATAAGACTATTGGCTTAAGAGATTGAAAAGAAAGGATGGAGTTTCCCATTTTATTTAGAATTCAGATTCTTTTTGAGCCATTACTGTCCATTTCTCTTGGTGTCTACCCAATGGCCTAATGTTTAACTATGCGAGACATTCCAAGTCTATTTTATACACACACACACACACACACACACACACACACAATAGTGCTGTGTTCTGAATGTGTGTGTCCCTGAAAAATTCATATATTAAAATTTAATCCTCAATGCAATAATATTAAGAGGTATGGACTTTGGGAGTTGATTAGATCATGAGGACTCTGCAATCATGAATGGCAGTTGTGCTCTTGGGAGCTTGGGGGCCCTTTTGCCACGTAAGGATACAGCAAAAGGCACCATCTATGAAGAAGAGAGCAAGCCTTCACCAAAAATCTGCTAGTATATTGATCTTGAACTTCCCAGCCTCCAGAACTGTGAGAAGTATATTTCTATTATTTACAAATTACCCAATATAGAGTATATTGTTATAGCAGCCCAAATACAGTGACACAATAGCAAAAACTTACATTAAAATTATTCTTAGATTTGATCTAGAAAATACTGCTTTGCTACATATAAGAAAACAAATATACCAGATTACCAAGAAAGATACTTGATTATGGATTTTCTGACTTCCAACTTGGGGCTCTTTCAGTGATACGGAAGTGAAAATTAAAAATAAGTGTGAAGTACTAAAATAAATTCAACAGAAAAACACCCCCAACTCCATTGCAAGCTAGCTCACATAGTCTGAGAAAAACAATGCTAAACAACATATATGTTATTTTGTTTTGTTTGCTTATATCTTCTGAGATAGAAAAAATCCAAATCTGTTGTTCTCCTTGTCTTGGAGCTGACCCTTTCCAGCAGATGATATCACCTCTAAGGTAACTAAGAACAATGATTTCTTATGGAAGTTAAATCAAGACTGTTCCTATCAAAAATGTTGAATATTAGAGAGAAATGCAGCAATAATATATGGAGTTTAGTAATATGATGGACAGCTCTGTAATCATATTAGTTTCAAAATATTTAATATAGTCTTTTCCAAATATGATATAAGCAGATGGATAGACTAGCTGTGTACTTTCATTGCCTCTGCTTTACTGATGCAGAACTCTTAAAACAAGCTTCCAAATATTGTTGGTTCTTTGCTTATTGAGTGTGAAATTGAAAGCAAAGCAAACCAAATGCTGTGACGTATATCCATTTTCCATCCTCCTTGGTCTTGGAAATCAATTATTATTCAAAATTACCCTTTATAATCAAAATTATTTGTATAACAACTAATATGCCATTATCTTAAACTAATATGATCACATTCTTTTTTTCTTTTGTTTTTGGTAGAGATGGGAGTCTCACTGTTTTGCCCAAGCTGGTCTTGAATTCCTGGCCTCAAGTGTTCCTCCCGCCTCAGACTCGCAAAGTGCTGGGATTACAGGCAGAAGTCACTGCTCCAGGCCACATTATTTTTATGATTATTATGATTAATACTTTTAAATAGTTGTACTTTGGGTTCTTGGGAACCCAGAGAAATAACATTCTTCACAAAGTTAGTTCAAAGGATTTTTTAAAGCTTAGTGCTACCGTTCTAAATGACTTTTTAAAAGAAAAGCATTCAGTATTTTAAGAAACATATAAATTGAATTTTGTGATTATCTGAATCGGTGTTTTAGTTAGCAATGTAATGAGAGTAAAAGTAACTAAACATTAAACTTTCTAATAGATTTCAGTTCAATACTAATACTACAGGGTTGATGCTTGCATTTCTTAGAAAGAGCAGGAAAATAAATATATATGTATATTTAATTATAAACAGAAGGCAGAGTTAGTTTACAACATTTAAAAAAAATCTAGATTGCATACTTTAATTTTCACCATGCAAAAAGTTGGAACTTGTAACTTCCAATGAGTCAATCTTTGGCTATTTTTCACAATCCACAAGTCCATGGTTTTTCTATAAAATAAGCACTAGTAATAAAAATCACAGGACACTATTTAATATGTTTGGTTGTATTATAATATTGAGAATAATTGGAGGATAAAATACTTTCTTTTAAAACATCACCTTTTCAGTGTCTGTTTCAAAAATATAGAATAAATTTAATTTTTAAAATTCTCTAAGTTTTCTATAACATCTTGAAATCATTTGTGATACTGTGATGCCACAATACCAGAGTGCCCCAGACTAAAATAAAACAAAACAATCAAATATACAAACATAAAAATAAAACCAGCCAAGTACATATGGGTGAATATGGTATTTTTATAGCATTAATTTATGGGGTAGTTAGACATTTCTTTTCTTTTTGCCATTCGTGGGGTGTGAGTGAATTATAGATGATATAAGAATGTTGGTATATTGATAATCATTGAATCTGGATGATGGTATGTGGAGGTTCATTATGCAATTCTGTCAACTTTTTCTACATTTGAAATTTTCCATAATGAAAGTTGAAAAAAAAAACAGAAACAAAACAAACAAATGAAAAACACCATGAAGTGAAAAGACAAGCCACAAGGTAGATGAATGTTTTTGCAATAAGAATCACTAAAACAAGATTAGTATGCACAGAAAGATTCGTATGTAGACTATTTAAAGAACTGCCATAAATCAACAAGAAAGAACAATCCAGTATATAAAAAAGTAGCTCATATTTAAGCAATCTCAGTAATCAAAGAAATTTATATTAAGACACAGTAAAATGTAATTTACCTGTAATTGTTAAACTACTAAGCAATCTGATAATATCAAGTCCTGGAGAGTATGGGGATCCAAAGGGATACACGTCCATAATGTCTATTGCAGTAATGTTCACAATGGCAAAATGATGTAAATAGCCCAAATGTCCAACAACCAGAAAAAACACAATTGAATTAATGTTTCCTCACAGAGTGGAATATTGCAAATCAGACCATAAAATATTACTGCACATAACACAGAAAAGTCTTAAAAGCATAATATTGAGGGCAAAAAAAAAATAACATGGATCATTTACAGTGTGGCAAAGTTTTTATAGAACTTACCTAAATACTTCATTATTTAAGCCTACATACGTTTGTGAGAAAACTGTAACAAAAACAGCAAAAGAGTAAAAACACAAGATTTAGTAGAGTGGTTATCTCTAGTGGACTTATAGGTGATTGTTGTATTATTGTGTTAAAATTAACATGTATATTACACATCAGTTTTGTATCAAATAATATATTTAAAAACACAACAGCATAAACAAAAAGAAGAAAAATCATTAACCTCCTGCCCCTCTTCTCCACAGAGTTTCTGAGTAGAAATTTCCACCTGACGTGCCAAATATGGGGTTCTGCTATAAAAAAAAAAGCACCTATCTTTTCAGTTTATCACTTATTCACTCTAAAATGTAATGGTTTCCTATGTTCTAAGATGCTATTCCTAAATTTGCACTGGTGGACTGTGTAGAATAAACTATTGGCTCAATATGTACTGATAATGGGGTCCAGAAAGTGCATTTGTAACAAAGCATTGTAGGTGGTTTTGATGCTGAGTCAGATTGGCAAAAGTGGGAGCAGAACCCAGTTATACATGTACTGCCTTGGTTCCACTTTGGGCCTTTGATAAAATTGCTCTCCCCCTTTAGAGAGACAGGCCAATGTCAAGTGCACCCAAACTCACAATGCAAATATGTTAAGGAATCACTTCTACTTTTACTTATCCAAACTTTATATCTACTCCTCTTAATATGTGTCCAAGTTTTATAAGACTTGTTTTTCTTTCTTATAAAATGCGGGATTGCTAAAATATTATTTTTTTCATTTTTCATAACTACAATCTAATAGAATCATGAAATGGGCACAAGGGTTTTACATACTCACTTCATAAAATGCAGTATGTCAAAATATATTCCTCAAACAAAAAACTTTAGTAAACTGCATACATTACACCTGTCAAATGCAAACAAAAAATGATGGCCTTTTTTCATCAGTTTTACAAAAGTTATTATAGGTTTGTTGTGGACAAAAGACGAGTCCATCAGTTTTTTTAATTCTTTTATATATATATATATAAAATAATTAAATATTGTTTTATATATATAAAACAATAAAAAAACACATACATATGTGTGTATTTATATATATGTGTGTGTATATATGTGTGTGTATGTATATATGCATGTGTGTGTGTGTATATATATATATACACACACACATATATTTTGCTTTGGAAAAATGAGCAAGAGAGCCAGCCAGTTCGTCTACTATAATAGAACAAAAGTCACAGAAGAATTATAGTGACATTTAAAATAAGTCTTTAAAAATTATTGTTCAGGCTGAACATGGTGGCTCACATCTGTAATCCCGGCACTTTGGAAGGCCAAGGCAGACAGATCACTTGAGGCCAGGAGTTCCAGATCAGTCTGGCCATCATGGTGACCCTACTAAAAATACAAAAATTACAGGCATGCTGGTGCATGCCTGTAATCCCAGCTACTTGGCAGGCTGATGCACTAGAATCGCTTGAGCCTGGGAGGCAGAGGTTGCAGTGAGCCGAGATCATGCCACTGCACTCCAGCCTGGGTGACAGAGTGAGACTCTGTCATATATATATATATTTCAGTTACATGCTTGTTAACCAGGCATAGTGGCACATACCTGTAGTCCCAGCTGCTTGGGTGGCTGAGACAGGAGAATCACTTGAGGCCAGGAGTTTGAGGCTACAGTGAGATTTGATCCACCACTGCACTTCAGCCTGAGTAACAATGCATCTGAAAAAAAAAAATGCAGCTTGATCTTGTTGAGGGCTGGTGTGATTTTCTGAAAATGCTGAAGAATATAGCACAGTTGCCAGGGTATTCCATATTATTGAGTAAGTGAGAGGAATTTGTTTAACTTAGAATTTCTACTGATCTCATTAAATACATGTTTTTTTTAGTTTACCTGTAAGTAGTAGCATTTTGAGGGAAACAATATTTTATATTATCCCTGTTTGTTTCAACTTCAGAGCAGATGTGACTCAAAATTCTATACATACTTTGACATATTCTGTATGACAACAACTCTGTCCTTGGCTAAACTGTAGACAGGCTCCTCCGAGCCTTCTTTCAAACTAGGCCCCTTCCTTTGGCCCTGTCTTTGACCTGCCTCTCCCAGTTTTAGCAAAAAATCTTGCTTAATTAGCAAGGATCTCTCCACCATTAATATCTGATCACCCTGGTTTGCTGACTTCTACAAAGGTCCTCTTGTTGGGTTAGCAAAAATCCCTCTAACCTCAATGTCTCCTCCTAGCAATTTTTCATCCACTGATTTTCTCACTCTGCTCTTTGGATGTACATCCCCAGCTATCTTTACTGTATTTGGCATTGAGTCTCATCTCTCTTCCCGATTGCAATTATCTTGACCCCTATTGCAATTATCTTGGCACCTATTGCAATAGTCTTGAATGATGTCTTCTTTACTATTTTAACAAGTGTGAGAAAATTTTTTTTCTTTAACAGGGATTGCAATAACAAATTATAGGAATTTAGAAGGATACACACAGTTAACCAAAATTCAATTTAACCAACAAGTTTGTATTTCTTAAAAAAAGAAGTTATTAAGTCTCTTGAGGATATATTGTCATGTAGTTCACAGACTCTTTCAAAATTCTGGAACCTGGAATATAAACCTGTGAGGGAGAAAGAGGAGACATATTTGCCCTGGGGACATTAAACTGGGAATGAAACCATGGCTGAAAGGCCCTGGGTGTAGAAACTACGTGCTAGTTTGGAGTGGTAGGGATCTTTCAAAGGATGTGTAGAAATGGCAGCAAGGAAGAAAGACAAGTAAGAAAGAGAACTTTAAATTTAAGTCTTAAGATCTCAAGCTCCCCAGGTTTGCATTTCTAAAATGTCTTTGCTGAAAATTAATGTCCTTAGAAAACTTTCTCTCTTTTCATGACAGTGATTCTTCAAGCATTAAGTTGATTATATTAGTGAATTGTCTGAGTTCTTTAACAAAATAGAAGTTCCATTAGGGTACTTCTTAGTTTCCCTAGTTTACCACTGTATTTCCAGTGCCTAGAAACTTGCCCATCCCATGGGAGACACTCAATAAATATTTCTTGAGTTAATGTGTTAAATAATGTTTAGATGTGTGTAAGAGACAACTAGTCTTAAAGAGCATTCCTTTGAATTCATCTATAGATTTTTCATTTATATTATGTTGAACCAAAGAAATGTTCATTAAGATTATGTTGTTAACTTCTTCTGTATTAATGCATAATATAAATACAAAAACCTTGTCAAGTTAACGGTTTATACTTTTCCTGAGCTAATAGCATATATATAATGATTTCTGCTTCCTTGTTTATGATGTGATGACAAGGGTAGCTGCGCCACTGTGGGCCACAGGAGCACCACATTCCAGGAAGCACTAGTCACGCATGCCAACTTACATGTTTGGCAGGCAGGAGAATGCTGGGCCTTTGACTGAGAAATAATTCTGTTTTCTTCCTCCCCCAAATGTGCTCTTAGAGCTAGAGGTCCTATTAATTTCCTGAGTTTTTTTTTTTTTTTTTACCTAAATGTTTATTGGGATATTAGAAACAAATAAAAAACCTATACAAAAGTCAACTCAAGAGGGATTAAAAAAACCCCCGAAACTATTAAAACACTAGAAGAAATCCAGGGAACACTCTTCCTGACATTGGTCTTGGCAAAAAATACAAGACCTCAAATGCACAAACAACAAAAACAAAAATAGACAAATGGGACTTCATCTTCAAATCTTCTACAAAACAAAAGAAATAATCAACAGAGAACAGACAACTTGCAAAATGGGAGTAAATATTTACAAACTATGAACCCAACAAGGGACTAATATCCAGAATTTACAAGGAACTGAAATAAATAAACAAAAACACAAACAACAGCATTAAAAGTGGGCACAGGGCATAAATAGACATTTTTCAAAAGAAGAGATAAAAATGGCCAACAAGCATATGAAAAAAATACTCAATATCACTAGTCATCAGATAAATGCAAATTAAAACCTTAATGAGATATCATCACAAACCAGTCAGACTGGCTGTTATTAAAAATGCAAAAAACAACAGATGTTGGCAAGGATGCAGAGAAAAGGGAACACTTGTGCACTGTTGGTGGGAGTGTAAATTATTACAACTTCTATGGAAAACAATATGGCTATTTCTCAAATAACTAAAAGTTGAGCTACCATTCAATCCAGCAATTCCAATACTGGATGTCTACACAAAGGAAAATAAATCATTTCATGAAAAAGATATTATGCTTGCATATCACTGCACTATTCACAATAGCAAAGACATGGAATACTTAAATGTCAATCTACAGATGATTGGATAAAGAAAACGTGGTATATATACACACAAACTACACATGCACACACATACACACACACACAAACACTGGAATACTATTCAGCCATTAAAAGAATGAAATCATGTCTTTTGTAGAAGTGTGGATGGAGCTGGAGGCTATCATCTTAAGAGAAGTAACTCAGAAACAGAAAGTCAAATATTACATGTTCTTGTTTATAAATGGGAGACAAATTATGTGTACACATGGATATAGAATGTGGAAATAATAAATATTGAAGACTTGGAAGGGTGGGAGGAGGATGACAAATAAGAAATTACTCAATGGCTACGATGTACACTATTCAGGTGATGGTTACACTAAAAGCCCAGACTTCACCACTATGCAATACATTCATGTAAAAAACAGTATTTGTACCCCTTAAATTTATAGAAATATGAAAATGAAAACGAATTGAAATAAAATAAATGTCTGTTATAAAAATGGTTCACTGCTTGTTTACATGGAACTGTGTCAGTTAATTATGAGACCAGCTAATTCAACATTAGGGAGTTGGCAGTGGAAACAGAGAGAGACACTAAATGAAAGAGAACTGCATTATAGCAAAGATGAATACAGCAAGGTACCAGACTAGCACAACATGGTGCATACATCGAAGAGGTGGTTCAAGTTTTATGGCTTCGAGAAAAAAGGGTTATGACATAGTCAGAAAATTTGGAAAAATACTTACAAAGTGCATGTCAAGATACAGACAAGAAATGTTTTCATTATTGTGCCATTCAGGTTTGTTAAATTTGCCTTTGTATTCCCGATGTTATCTCTTTAATAATATGAACCTCCTTTATGTAACAGATCTTCTTTCACTAAATCCAGTTGTCACTTGTTTTTGGTGCTTGTGGGGCATCCAGTCAACTTCAGACAGCCTCTAATGTGGTGGTCGTGTTGATACTGTTGTTTCCGAACCAGGAGTATGAGAATACTGACCCTGCCAAATGGAAGTAAAAACAAAACAAACAGAATAAAGCACTTTACAGGAAATTTCAAACATATATAAGTAAGGAGAATAATATAATGAAGCCCTGGATGTACTCATAACTCATCCCCAACTCATCCCCAACAATTAACTCATGAGCACTCTTGTCTCATATATACCCACACTGATGTTGTCACTTCCCTTTTTACATTGTTATTAAACCAATTTCAGAAATTATATTACATTATATTACTTAATCCGTCAATATTCTATATGCTCCTCAAAAAGATAAGTACTCCTCCAGAAAACATAAACACAATACCATAATCAAACTTAAATTTTTAAACATGTCATTAAAGTTAAAATTTTGTAAAACAATATCACACGTAAAATTTGCATATCTAAATGGCGAGGAAGGAATTCTCTTAAATTATTCAATTGCTGCAGGTTATTAGAGAAAATTAAAGGAATGGTTGTATTACATGATACAAGGGCCTTAATTTCTACAAGTCCAAAAAAGTGGCCCTTCGATAAAGAGATATTGCTTTTTGTAATGAAGACACTGAAAATGTTTGCTTACCTGCATGGATAGCAGGCATATCATTGTGAAGTTAAATGAAGCCAATATTGTTGAAGTGATAGTGTTCAGATACAGTGTGAGACAATGGGCCGTTAGTTAATATGCCAGATTCCTTGTACATAATTGGTCAATAATGTGTTACAAAATTACAAGAAGAAACTTTTCATCTTAATATGGAGAGTTCAAACTTTTCTATTACTCAAAAGTATAATACACACTATTATAGAGTTTATGTAAATAGAGGTAACAGGCACAGTTTTATGAGGCTTTGGGAAAAATTTTCCATGATGACCTTGAAAAGCCTGCAGAATTTATGTGATACAGACAATTCCTTTTCAATTTTTGTGTGACTGTAAGGCATAAAAGCCTCTCTTAAGGATCTTGTAAGTGAAGAAAATGTTTAAGTGTGTTCAAACTGTCTACAGAAATGTCACATTAGAGAGAAATGACTACAAAGTGAAATAATCATCAATTGTCTAACATGTTGCAGACCTATCTTTTTTACTGCTATAGGTGAATTTTTATAAATAATTGATTCATATTTAACGAGGAGAAGGCAGTTATATGGGGCTTTTTTACTATAAAGATAATTGATTCAATTACAGGGAAATGTGATAAAATGATGGAGGATTATTTGGGAAACCTTTAACTCTCTTGGTATGCAGAAGTAAATTTAGGGAGGTGCTCTAGCATTAACACTTAGTGTATTTTTAGTAGAGATGGGGTTTCGCCATGTTGGCCAGGCTGGTTTCAAACTCCTGACCTCAGGTGATCCACCTGCTTCGGCCTCCCAAGGTGCTGGGATTATAGGCATGAGCCACCACGTGCGGCCAGTTTCCTTTATATTTTCAAAGAGAAATGTCTAAATATTGGAAATACCGAAAAGCACAATTTGTACCCTCATTGCTTATACATAAATGGAAGTAGAAGAAATACCTCCTCGTATTTCTTGTAAGCATTCACTGCCTCTCTAAATAACAATTAGAGATTTGAAAGAATATCTATACCATCCAAAGCGTAAACGGCAAACAAGTCTGGTAGACAGAATAATGGCCCTCCAAAGATGTCCACATGTTAACAGCCAGAGACTGTAAATATGCTACCTTGTATGACCAAAGGGACTTTATAGATGTGATTGAGTTAAGAATCTTGAGATGGGGGGTTATCTTGGAGTATCTGAGTTAGCCTAATGTAATTAAAGTGATCCTTATAAGAAGGATGCAGAAAGGTCAAAAGGAGAGAAGGTGATGGGGCTACAGAAGGAGTGAGAGAGAGAGCAATTGAATGATGCTATTCTGCTGGACTCCAAGACGGAGGTAGAAGCCAACAGCAAAATAATAAAATAAACATAAAAATGCATGTGGTCTCTGGAAGTCGGCAAAGGCAAGACAACGAAACATTCTCCTTTAGAACCTCCCAAAAGAACCATCTCTGCTGACACCTTGATGTTAGGCAAGTGAGACTGATTTTGAACTTCTGACTTCCAGATCCATAATATAATATAGGTATGCTGTTTTAAGCCATTAAGTTTGTGGTAATTTGTTACAACAGCAATAGGAAACTAATAACGTTTCCCTCAATATTCTGTTCAATAATAGGAAACCAGAAATTTCGAATGGTAAGGAATGTACCTGTCTAGGAACCTGTAAGATTGGTGTTAACTATGTCTAACTATATACTGAAGGGAGCCTTCTTTGTGAATTGTTAAATTTTGTAACACTCTGGCAGCCATTCACATGGCTGAGGAAATGCTATGGAAATAAGATCGTACCTGAAAATGACATGTTTATAGAGTAGAGAGAGAATTATATGAGGCTACTTGACTTTAAACTGTAGTGATTAAATTAATTGGAATTGGGGGCTTGATGTGTTAAAAACCTTTTACTTGAAATTTATATTTGTGCATATCGACGGGGCTTTTTAAGGCATCGTTTGTGCTTAGGACTAATTTTTTAATCTTGAATTTCTTAAAAAGATTAAGGATTTCCTGAGAAAGCTTAGATCCACCAGTTTGAGGAAATAAATTTAAGGATTGGGAATGAGTTCACTGGCTAAGAAAAAAAGTTCATTGCTATCGTTTTGTTAAAACCTTAAAAGCCTCCTATTAAAGGAGGTAGATTTTTCTTCCTTAATGAGATGATTGAATGGAACATAATTTGATGATCATTGATTACCCTCAATGAGAAAAAAAGCATATAAATGGCACAGCAACATTTTTTAAAGTCTTTGTTCTGTAATTTCAATGTCAGAAGACTTGGGTGGGCATCAATCAACAAAGTAACACCCATATAGCTTATTGATCTATAAAAAGCTACAAATTCACATTCAAACTGATGGTTTCTCACATATCTTCATAAGGAGATGTTAAAGGACTGGGACATTTAATATCGTAATTCAGAATGTTACTGGGCATTGATATAAGATGGTAATAGAGACACTTTTATGGGAATACAGGGTCAAAAATTGCCTTGACAAGCATGTGTAATTTATATTGTGAAGAAACTTTTTATAATATCTCCAGGGCTATTAGAAATGCAAATTTACTTGCAAGAGTTTGGTTAACTAACAGGTGTAAATAAATCCTCAGAGACCATGTATGAAAAGTGTGTGTCAGGAAATGCTACATGGGTATAAAAATATCTCAGTAAGATTAAGTTCCCAGTAAGACTTTAAAAAATTGATTTATGTGTCATGCTACACCACATTTATATGGCCTGTGGTTGTACAAAATGAGTAGTACTACTGAGAATTTGTTATCTACAACAAATTTGAGGGTCCTATATAGAGTTATGAGACTGTAAAATGAATTTATTTTGTTCATTGAACTCCTGAGGTCTGTGTAAGCATCAGACATATTTTGGCAGAATTTGTATACTCCAGCTTGAACATCCTTATTAAATGTTTGGTGTCAGTAACATGCTAGGAATTGGATTTTGAAAATTAAATTGAAATGATAAAAAAATTCTTTAGAATCCCTATAAATCTCCAGGTTTGCAGCATTCAATTGATATAAGTGGATTGTCCTTAAATTTAGGAGAATGTATTCTGAGTAATATCTGTCCAAAATATAAAAGATGACTTATAAATGTGATTGGAAGTCTCCATTTGATACTGTATGATAGGAAAGTGTGTTTTTATTACTTCTGTATTTTTTATTTGAATGTATTTTTTATGCTTACATACATAAAATTTATATCTATGGTTTACACTTGTAATTTGAATATAGTAGAATTCATACATTATAAACGTGAAATTCAATGAGTCAAAGACTTAGAACTATGTCATTCATAACCTTAGTAAGATACAGAGCATGTTCATAACCCCAGAAAGTTTTCTTGTGTGTGGTATCTCCCCATCAATTTCTGAACCATCTCTCTTGGGAAACTGTTGCTTTGATTTTTATTAAAATATTTAATTTTGCCTATTTGACATTTTCATATAAATGCAACCATATAATATGTATAGCTGGACCTCTGTATCTGCAAATGCGGATTCAACTGCACTATGCCACTTTATATAAGGGACTTGAGCATTCATGGATTTTGATATCTGCAGGGGGCTTTAGAACCAATTCCCTGTGAATAGTGAGAGATAATTGTACTATATTGTGCCAGGCCTTTTTTCATTGAGCATAATATTCTCAGATTCCGTCATGTTGCTGCACGTATAAGTAGTTCATTCTTTTGTATTTTACAATATTAGTTCATTATAAGGATAAACCACATTTCATTTATCCATTATATGCTGATAAATATTTGGCTTCTTTCTAGGTTTGGCTGTTAAGAATAAAGCTGCTATAAACATTCATGTACAGATCTTTTTGTAGATTATTTTTGCATATTACTTGGGTAAATTTCTAGAAGGGCTAATTTCTGTATCACAGGACAAATGTGTATTTAATTCTATCAGAAACTTCCAAAGCGGCATAGGTTATTTTAAGTAGTTATACCGTTTTAAAAACCTACAAACAACCACAAGAACTTTGGTTCCTCCACACCATCACTAATATTTGAATTAGTCAATCCTTTTGTAGCCAATCAATGTGGGTGTGAGGTAATATATCTTTGTTTTATTTTGCAATTTTCTGATGACCAATAATACTGAGCACTTTTTCATCGCATATTGGTTATTCATATGTCCTCTCAGTGAACTATGCATTTAAGCTTTTTAAAATTTTAATAGATTTGTTTTATCTTATTGGATTATATGGGACTTTCATTCATTCTTGATACAAAGCTTTCATTGAATATAGAGTGAATATAATTTATAGCAGTGGCATCTCTGTTCATTTTTTAAATTGTACTTTTTGATGAGCAGAAATTTTTATTTGAGGAATTTTTGTTAATACTTTAAAAAATGTTTGGTATTGCTTTTCATGTGCTATTTAAGACACTTTGCTTATATCATGGGTGTGAAGACATTTGCCTATTTATTCTAGTGGAAGATTTATAGATTCAGTTTTTAAATGTGGCTCTACTAGCTCGGCATGGTGGCTCACATCTGTAATCCCAGCACTTTGGGAGGCCAAGGCTGGCGGATCACAAGGTCAGGAGTTCGAGAGCAGCCTGGCCAATATAGTGAAACCCTGTCTCTACTAAAAATACAAAAATTAGCCGGGTGTGGTGCCATGTGCCTGTAGTCCCAGCTACCCAGGAGACTGAGGCGGAAGAATCGCTTGAACCCGGGAGGTGGAGATTGCAGTGAGTTGAGATCATGCCACTGCACTCCAGCCTGGGCAAAAGAGTGAGACTCCATCTCACACATACAAAAAAATGTGGCTCTGCCATACATCTTAAAATATTTTTGTGAGTGGCATGAATTAAGGATCAAGGTTCACGCCTTTTCAGAAGTTTTTCACATGGACATCCATTTCTTCCATCAGCATATGTAAAAAAGAATTTGAATTCTCAATATCATTGATTTGGGTCACATTATAGTAATATTGAAACTTTTTATTCTGTTTCCTTGATCCATTTGCCTATTCTTATGCCCAAAAATACTGTTCTTATTATTGCAGTATCATGGTAATCATTAAAATCAGACCGTGTAATTCCATCAAATTTGGCTTTTTTAAAGATTGTTTTGACAATAACAGATCCTTAAAATAAACTGTTAATTTCTAATAATATTTTGGAAAAAGTTGCTTTAGATCTATAATTCAATTTAGGAAGAATTGATGTTTTAACATATTGAATCTTCCAACACATAAACACAATAAATCTTCATATTTGTTCAGTTCTTTTAAAAATGTACTTTTAGGAATATTCTATAGTTTTCAGTGTGAATGTGCTGCAAATATCTGATTAAATTTATTCATAAATATTTGATTTTTATTACTTTATAAAAGATATTTTTCAATATCACTTCTGTTTCTTATATTCTCATTATAATTTTTATATGTATGTTTTATCATGTGATCTTGCTAAACTCACCTATAAGTACTTTTAGTTGTTTTTTAGCTTTCTTTTTGATTTCTATAAAAACAATAATGCCATCTGCAAACAGACAGTTTTTTTTTTTCAGTTTTTATGCCTTTTTTTCCTTTTACAACATGGACAAGACCTCCAGTACAATGTTGATCAAAAGTGGTAAGATTCAATATCATGCCTTGTGTTCAATTTTCAGGGAAAATGTTCAACATGTCACCATTGAGTGTAATATTAGTTGTAGGAAATTCAAATACACCCATTATCAGATTAAGTGTGTTTCTTTTTGCTCCTTGTGTGCTGAGAGATTTTATAATAAATATATATTACATTATTTAAATTATTTTCCTACATGTAAATTATCATTTGATTTTAAACATTTATTTTATTAATATGGTGAATAAAATTGATATTTTAAAGTTACATAACTCTTGAATTCCTGGGCAAACTCCCACATATTGATGGATATAATTGCCTTTTATTTGTTTTCCTTTATCTATATTTGAGGAATACTGGACTATATATTTATAAAATAGACTTTATTTCCTGACAAAGTTTTAGGATCCCAGCCACAGTGAGTGGAAGTTACAGAAATTTCCCACATAACCCATGCCCTATGTATGCACAGCCTCCACCCCTATCAAAATTCCAAACCAGAGTGGTACATTTGTTACATCAATAAACCTGCATTGTCAAACCATTATCACCCAAAGGCCTAGGGTTCACTCATGGTACAAATTCATGGTTTTCATACCTTTCTGCCTTTTCTTTTTGCAACCTATTTTTGGAAATTCTTTAGGTGGACTAAAACATTTTTTTTCTTAAACAAAACAAAACATGTGCTTAGCACCTATGTTTGTTTCTTTTCTTAAAATTTATTATCATATTTAATTCAACCTATTTCTCTTTCCTCTTTGCCATCTTCAGCCTATTGTGCATTGCATTACCCAATCCCTTTGGCCTTTAGGGGTACCAGAAATTACTTTGCATTGTGAAAAACTTGACCTTGGTATGTGTAATGGCTAAGAAAAAAATACACTTTTAGAGGTCGCTGATGGCAGTTGCTTAAAGTAAATGGTTACTACTGCAGGGAGCTACTTGTTTTCTTTTGTGCTTGGATTAAAAAAAAAAGCATGGTTTTGGACACCTAGATGCTATATAAACACTCCCCACTGGGGGATAAGATGCCCATGGAGGATGGGCTGATCACAGAATAGGCTAACTGGCATTGGGTTGCCCACTAGCCTCTGAGTATGTATTTTTAGTAAAATACACTGTGAAAGCATTGTGTGGCCCAGTCCTCATGGTAGAGTTACTATTGGCAAATTCATACAGTCTGCAGCAAACTCGATCCTTGCCTCTTTGGAGGAAAGAATTCAGCCAAGGAGCAGAAGTAGGTTTAAGGTAGAGTGAGCGACCAAGGCAAATTTTGTAGCAGGAGTGAGAGTGTATTAAAAAGTTTTAGAGCAGGAATGATAGGAAGCAAAGTACACTTCGAAGAGGGACAAGAGGGTGACTTTGGAGATCCAAGTGCCTTGCTTAGCCCTGGATTTAGAGTTTTATACATTGGCATTGATCTATGGTTTGCATTTCTCTCCTTTCAATTTTTTCATTGGGTCAGTCTGTCCATATACACAGTGGTCTGCCAGCACTTGTGAGGGCTTATATACACAATGTGTTTACTGAAGTTGTGCACAACCTCCTTTGAGGCATTTTTTTCCTTACCAGTTGAGCATTTCCAGGGGAATTTCATATACTGGTTAAACTCTGCCATTTTGCCTCTTAGTGCACATGCTTAAGCCTGCTCATCCAACTCCTAAGATCTTATTGGGAAGCTACTGATCACCAGCTTCAGGTTTTTTTCTATCTATTGGGAGACTGTCTTTCCATGGCACTGGCTGTGACTAATTATCACTTTAGAGAGGCAGTTTAACAAGCACTTGACTATCACGTGATTCACCTGATGGTCGCCTGACATTCTTGGCAGCAGGGTGCTCTTCTGCTCTCCTGTCCTGCTATTGTCTGCTAAATTATCGACTGTAACATTTCCCTGCTCAAGTCTAAGACCCAATTCTTTGGGATAATGAATGAAGGTCCATCTTCTGTAACTGCTTCCTGCTGACAGGGAGGCTGTGGTGGTTGTTCTGTGGGTCTTGGCCTCTTGCTAGCTGTCAGGGCAGGGTAGCTCTGTAAGTTGATGAAAGTGTTATCCAGCCAGGTCTAAGGGTGACAGAAGCATGATTTCACTTCTGTTCTGTTCTACTGATGGGCATCTAGGGATGCTCTGTAGAGGGTGACTCTCAAATGTTGAGGGTATGGTATCCCTTACTAAGGATCATCTGTAGCTTGATGGCCTGAAGACAAGAGGAGACAAACTGGGTTAGTAGATTTAGAAGACACGAACCAAAAAGGAGCAAAAGTAGGAGACTAACAAGTGATATTAAAAAGGGAGGAACCCGGAAGAACCATTTTTAGGTTCTTTCACAATTTAGCCCTGAGTGGTTTGTTCCCGTAAATGGGAGTCTCAATTTATAAGTTGCCTGATATCTTGTATTTTTTTGATTGATTTACCCAAAGCAACATTTTTTATCTAAGGGTAAGGCTAAACAAATTCCTTGCTGCACTGTTATTAACATACCTAGTCCTCAGCTGCTTTGGAGTACTATGGATACTAAAGAGTCTATTTGTTCTTGTACAGCTGTTAAGGTTTTACCCATAGCACCAATATTGTTGGCTATATCTTTTTAAAGTTGGCTATATAGGTCAAAGAGGCTTGTGTGACTGTGGCAATTCCAGTGCCTGTACCAGTTGTAATGTCAAGTCCCACAGGAAGGGGAATTAATTGGTCAGTCCTCCTGACCCTGGGCAAGATGGAATGCCCACAGATTGGTACTAGAAGAGAGAGATTGCCAAGGGCTATGAAGGTGTCCTGGGATACATAGCTTATGGTACAAGTTCCAGTCTAGTTAGTGGGGAGACATTAATGAAATGATTGGCCACAAATATAGAAAGGAAGGCTCCTCCGGTTTTAAGCCAAGTAGAGATGTCAAAATGAAATAAGGGAGTGAGGACAGCTCCATAAAATCCCAAGGTTGCTGACATCACCAGGTAGCTAGTGGCTAGCTATGCTTGCTAAGACTTGGATGCATGGAGTTTGGCTCTGACTAGTTTCCTTGGTTTTATTCTCCCCACTTCCCCCACCCGCCCCCCCCAAAAAAGTATTTTGAGTTAGGTCCGTAGAACATATTCTGTGGTAGAGCTGAGGTTGGCAGTTTGCAGACATTGGGTATAATCAGCAGGCTGTACCAGAAAGTTTGAGTACTGCATGGGCTTTGGCATTCCTGGAAAAAGTGGGTGAATTTGTCAGAAAATTTCCCTGAGAAAAAGTAATATTTGGAGGTTTGGGGAATCTTGATTATTGGCAGAATTGGTTGTGAGGGTATGTTTGGTAAGTCTGTTGTTTAAAGTCTACAGTAAAAGTAACATTACGCATGGTATTTGGAAGAGCATCTACATCTGTTCCATTTTTCTCTTTTTTTCCCATTTTTTCTCTTGGCCATAACACACATAAGAGCTATCCTCATTAAGGCAATATTAGTAAATATGCATCCAAAAATGGGAGGCTTCTTGAGGATATCAGGAATATCTTGCATTATTTTTGTA
This sequence comes from Homo sapiens, assembly GCF_000001405.40. Taxonomy (NCBI): domain Eukaryota; kingdom Metazoa; phylum Chordata; class Mammalia; order Primates; family Hominidae; genus Homo; species Homo sapiens. The sequence goes on from NC_000024.10 coordinate 3,852,596, forward strand.
AGAAGGCTATTTGCAGAGCCAATCATTCCTTTCAGATTAGGGTCCCATTGATAGGAAATATGTAATTCTGCCTCTATGTTTGTCCAGTCTCTGGGTGAGGCTGGATAAGTTCTCACTGGTATTTCAGTTGAAGAGCTAGTACATAGCCAGCAATTAGTGGAGCAAGGGAATCCTGTGCTTTGGATTGCTGAGCTTTTTTCAATAATGGGAAATCAGGATGATAGTGCACTATTAGTAAAGGGATGAAAATAAGAACAAGCAGGTGTGGGCCCATGGTGATCTAAGGTGGGATAAATTGGTCACAAAGAAAGCTGCCACTGGAACTCTTGATGGTGTACAAGTTACAGTTAGGGTAAAATAGTGATAACAATCACAGCAATTGTGAACAAAATTCCTAATATTGGGATCACCTTATTTTGAGGTGAAAGGATGTTGGTGGGATTACTTATCTTTTTGTTTAAAAAGTAATTTCAGATCTTCCAGTGACTCACAAGTCTATTCTGGAGCTGAGGTTTCTAGTTCTGGCTCTGGTGTTTTGGGGATTTTTCATGACTTCACTTGAGTGTGATGTATATAGCTGGCAATCTCTGGTACTTTAATGGCTGTGGGGGTAGATAATAGAATAGTGAGAGAGCCCTTCCAGACTGGAGTTAGTTGGGAATTTTAGGTTCCATCCTTCTAAGCTTTAATGGTATCTGGTGAGCTTGGAGGATATAGAAGTGGATATTTTTTCCCTTCAAATTTTGGGTTTGTTTGTAACCCATATTCCCAGAGAGCCTTTTGGAAGCTTGCTAAAGAAGAGGCATACCTGGGTGATTGTGGCAATTTCTTCACCTAGTAAGAAGTCAAAATATAGGAATGTCCTTTCATATGAGGCCTCAAAGGGGCTTAATTGCAAGGGAGCCTTAGGGGCAACACAGATCTGAGGAGGGCTAAGGATAAGAGGTACTGCCATGGCTGTGCAGTTTCCTGATAGAGTATATAGAGGATGCATTTGAAGGTTTGGTTAGTTCTTTCCACTTTTCCTGTAGATTGTGGCCTCCAGGCAGAGTGAAGGTACCACTTTATTCCTGGGGCACTACTAACTTGTTGAGCCACTTGGGAAATGAAGGAAGGACCACCGTTGCTCTGCAATAACCTGGGGAGCCTGAACTGGGAAATAAGTTCCTTTAGGAAAAATTTAGTAATCTTTTGTGCCTTGGTAGTCCTTGTGGGGCAGGTTTCTACCCATCCTAATGTAGGTGTCTACACAGACCAAGAGGTACTTATACTGCAGTGTGCAGGGAGCTGAGTGAAATTCATCTACCAGTCTGCCCAGGGTAGGCACTTCTCATTTGGACTGGACTTATTAATGGAGTGGGCTTCCCTCTCTGGGGATTATTTATGGTGCACAAGGTGCTTGACAAACCGTTGAATAGTTTTCTTTAGTCCCTTCCCACTGAACACCCCTTTACAAATTTTCCCTAGACTGTGTTTTCCAAAGTGGCCAAGTCTTGATGAATTTCCATTCAGAGGGTTTAGGTAGATGGAGAAGTTCTCCCAACCTGTACCATCCATTAATTTTCTTTTAGATACCCATGTTGTGTGGCCAAATCTATTTTTCTCCTTAGTGTATTAGAGAGTGGGAAGTTCATTGGGGAGTGAAGGGAGTAAGGCCCCCATGAGGGTATCTTTTGAGATAGCTACCTCTTTAGCTTTTTGGTCTACTGAACTATTTCCCTGTGCAGTTTCATTAGAGCTTTTCTGGTGTCCTTTGTGGTGTACTACTGCCACCTCCTGTGGCAGATGAAGAGCCTCTAGTGGCTCTAAGATTTGAGGCCTGTACTTAATAGAAGTATTCAGAGCTGTTAGGTATCCCTTTCCTCCTAGATAGCCTCATGGGTGTAAAGCACCAGATAGGTATATTTGGAACCTGTGTAGATTCTCTTTCTTTCCCCTAGTTTTAGGGCTCTGATCAACATGATAAGTTTGGCTAGATGTGCTGAGGTCCCTGGGGAAAGAGCTTTAGCCTCTGTGACTTGGTGAAGGCACAGTATAGTGTACCCTGTATGTCTAGTTCCATTTCTGACAAAGCTATTCCCATCTGAAAACCATATTTCATACAGATTATCTATTGGCTGATATTTTAAGTCTTCATGGCTGGCATAAACTTGGTTAAGTGTCTCACAACACAAATGTGTTGACTTATTGTCTCCTGGTAGTAAGGAGTAAGGAGGCTGGGTGAAGGGTGGAATACTACTCAACTGTTACCTGTGAGTTTTTTAACAACAAGACTTGGCACTTCAGCAATCTGTTGTCAGTGAGCCATCATGACCCTTTTATGTCTAATAAGGTGCCTATTTGGTAGGAACTCAGGAGCCAAACTGACTGTCCCATGGTGAGTTTGAGGACTTCCTCAAGTAGAGGGCTGCTGCAGCCACTACTTTGAAGCAATGTGGCCAACCTTATGCTACTACGTCTAGGTTCTTTGAAAAGTAACCAACAGGACATTGTATTGGCCTGATGGTTTAAATTAGAACCCCTTGAGTTAAACCTTGTTTTTCAGTGACAAAAGCCTAGTTTGGCTAGTATGGGTGGCCCATGGGCTGGGACATGTGACAGGGCAGTTTTTAGCTACCTAAAGGCTTGCTCCTGATCCTTTTCCCAGATAAGTGGGTCCCTATTAGACCCTTCTTTTAGATCCTGATTAAAGGATTTAGCAATACCACCATACCCCAGTATTCAAAGCCTGCAAATCCTGTGATCCCCAGAAAGGCACAAAGTTGCTTTCAGGTGATTGGGATAGGTATTCTAAGGATGACCTGTATTTATTCTGGGAGAGCTTACATACTTTGGGGGTCAAGACTATCCCCAGGTTTTGGACATCTTGTCTTAGAAGCTGTGCCTTGGCCTTGGACACCTTGTACCCTCTGTCTGTGAGGAAATTTAGTGTCTGGACTAGATGTTGGATTCCCAACTCTCTTGTTGGGGAGCAGATTAACAGGTCTTCTACATACTGTAGGAGATGCCCTCCCCACTCAAGCATTAGATCCTGCAAAGCTCTAGTCAAGGCTTGCCCAAACAAATGGGAACTATCTCTAAAACCTTGTGAAAGCACTGTCCAGGTGAGCTATTGACTCCTTCCTTTTTTATTTGTCCACTAAAATGCAAATAGAGTTTGGAAGAATGAGTCTAGGGGATACAAAAGAAAGTGTCTTTGAGGTCTAAGACTGAAAACCACTAAGCATCTGGAGGTACTTCTACAATTACTTAAGGGTTGGGGACCACTGGGTTTGTTGAGACTACCGCTTCATTTATAATTTGCAGATCCTGGACTAGCTTGTTTTCTCTCTTGCTCATTTTAACAGGTAAGATGGAAGTATTACAGTGTGAGTTACAGGGTATTAATAATCCATGTTTTAGAACTTTTTCAATAAGGGGCTGAAGTCCCTCTTTGGCCTCTGTCTGAAGAGGAAGCTGACTTCTACAAGGGTAACTAGAAGGATTCTTGAGCTGAATTACTACATTATGATCTTTTCTTGTATTCCTGAGGCCCCAACCTCTGGATTAATGGGAAGCTCCGTGGGTAGTTCATCTTTGTGTGTGGTTTCCTTGAGACATAAGATTGCATTTGAAAAAGGGGGTGTTGGCTCTGGAGGAAAGGTTAATGGAGCCCCTAGTCTGAACAAAATATCTCTGTTTAAAAGGAGCATAAGACATTCTGGCATCACTAAAAACAAATGAGAAAAGACAGTTTTCCCCCATGGCAGCACAGAGAACGAATAAACCTCTGGGTTATGGAAACCCCATTTACCCCCATCACCTGGCAGGATTTGGAGGATAATTGCCTGGGAAAATAGGTAAGCTTATTGTCCTTCCTGCCACATTCAAAGAGCCCTTGGCTCCATTCCTTCAATAGTGATGTTCAATCCAGGAGCCAACTGGAGTGTAGGAAGGACCCCTTCAGCTCAAAGCCATGAGGGGTTGCAATTCTGTCCTGGGCACCCTTCAGTCCTCAGGAAAGTCTCATTTCCAGTGGCTGAGCTTGTGATAGAGGGGACAAGCCATGCAGTTTATCCCACTGAGGAAGTTGGCCCTCCAGTGGGCTGGCTTCCGGCATTGATGGCAGTTACCTGGAAGGATATTCTGAAGGCAACATGGAGGAGGCTGGCGGACTTGCAAGGCAGCCATCAGTTGGAGCTGCCACTTTTACTTTTGCCTCTCCCTTTCCTGAGAAAGTTCCTTTTCCTCCTGGTCCCAGTTGTAAAAGACAGAGAAAGCTATTTTGAGGATGTCAGGCATATGGGTGTTGGGTACTTGTCTTGGGAGTTTCCTCTGAATATCTGGAGCTTCCTGAGTTAGAAAATTGTTCTTTTGTACTAGTTGCCCTTCTGGTGGCTCTGGATCTAGGTTTGTATGTTTCATTAGGGCTCTTTGTAGCCTCTCTGGGAAAGCAGTGAGGTTTTCAAGAGGGTCTTGATCTATTAAGGACAATTTGCTTTAATTCACAGGCTTTCTTCTGCTAGCCTTCATTCCCTCTATCAGACAGAGGAATAGTGGTTCTTTGTCCACATACTCCCATGGGTATTGTAATCCTAGTTGGCATCGACCTGGGGAACTGCAGTGATTCCCACAGGGTAGCCACCAGGGTCAGTCATTTGCATCGTGTTTGCAAATTGCTGGGCTGCCTCCATAATGGAGTCACATTCTGCCTCTAGACAGAGGTTGCCCTAGTATGACTAATAGGTCCCTGCAGGTGAGTTCAAATGTTAATTCCAGTTTATGGAACGCTTTGATGTGTTTCTCAGAGTCCTCTATAAATCTCCCTTGTCCCATTTTAATTTGGCTCAGGTCCTGCATAGTGAATGGAGTCTGAACTCTAGTGGATCCACTGGGGCTGCAACCCTCCTGAAATGAGCATAACTTAAGGGAGTGGTGGCCAGAGGATAACCTTGGGTAGGGAGGGGAAGCCTCCAGGACTAGGAGACTTGGATATAATGCAGTAAAAGGGTCAGTGGCGTTTGAGCTAAGCTTTACACTTAGGTTTTATGGGGCTTGAACCCTGTGCAAACCCAATAAGGGGTCTCCCAAACCAATTGGAGGGGGCTCTCTGACTATGGCTGCTATCATCACTGGATTTATTTTACAAACCTGATAAAGGTCAGGACAATTTCCTAGGGTCATGAAGGCCTGTATATAAGGAATATCTATTTTCCATGGGGTGGCAAAACAAATCTAGTTGATGGACTGTATTAAAATTGTCCATTTTCCAGCTATGATTCCTGGTACCAGAGCTTGTATTCAACCCAGGCTATGTTACAGAAAAATATTAGCCTTTTCCTCTTTAGGGCTTGGTGGTCAAACTTTTCTCAGTTCTTTAGGATGCAACCAAGGGACGTGTCCTGTAGTACAGACACATGATTACCCATCTGCGAAGAGAGAACAGAGGAGAAAAAAGAAAAAGAAATCATTCCCTCTTATTCTTCTACTATCTTTCCTGAACAAGGTGTCCCTCATTCATCCTGGGGGTTCCAGAATGAACTGGTCTCACTGGATACCCTTAAGCTTGGTCCCCTCTTGTCTTATGGAGGTGCAATTACCTACTTGAGAACAGAAAATATACCAGTGTGAACACGGGGCCCCCTATTCATCCTTGGGGTTCTGGAATGAACTGGACTTTTGCGGTACACCTAACCTTGCCTTCATCTTTGTTCTATGGTAATCTGTTTTGTGCCTGTAGCCCGGGATCAGCCTTCATCTACTTCATCTATGTCCTATGGGTACTTTGGTCTTTTGTGCCTGTGGCCTTGGGTCACCCTGTATTACTTGTCTGTATGACCTTATAATGACTCTCGTTTGGAGCATTCGGGAACAAAATGATTATCTCTTTTCTCATATTCCCATTTCCCATGTTCCTTAAGTAGATGAGAATCATGTTTTTCAGCTAACTGCTGCAAGGGGACTGGACTTCCCTCCCTTCGAATATAACCTTGAAGGTTCTGATGCATATTGAGAAGGGCATGGAAATAAAGGAATGGAGGAAAATTTATATTCGGGGTTCCTTTTCCTCCTGGGATAACATGCAGAACAAATGCTTAAACGGACAGGACAATCCCTCTGCTAAAGAAAGAAGCAGGAGAAAACAAGAGGGAGACTCATGGAAAGCCTTTATATGTTCAAAAAAACAGTAACCCTTGGATTAGAGAGGGCAACTTTTATTTGCCTTCTTGATGTAAAGGAGGAACCTCTGACGGACTTGGGGCTTGAGATAAGGGCTCACGAATTGCAATAAAAGCATTTTATTTCTTCTCAAAGGAGTGCTAACTAAACAAACAAAGCAAGTTGGTGGGGTCCTTAAAAGGCCATAGAGTGAGGTCCTATACAGGTGGACGAACCACTTCACAAGAAACTGAAAATCTTAGCCTTGGAGCACAATAGGGACAAGCAACATACAGAAAGTCATTAGAAGCTGGTAGAGCTGGGATTCTGATTAGTGTCTTTCCTGGCAAAGAGTCAACAGACAGAGGAAGGGTTGGAGGTTATCTGATCTGGTAAACAAAGTATAAATCTCAGGGTATATCTGCAATGCAGCTTGTCTCCAGGCTGCCAGGCAGATACAGCAAGAGCTATGGGTGCACAAATAACAAACAGGGAGTGTTATGTTTAAGGAAGAAAAAGAAGTCGTACAGCATGCAAAGTGAAAGCAGAGAAAAGGCAGACTTTTCCCAAGGTAGAGAGTCCAGCAGATGTACAAGGCCATTTCAGGATATAGACAGAGAAAACAGGAAAGAAGGTGATGTGCACTTTTTGGGAAACAGCTAATTTTAGTTGAAGAAGCAGAGGAAATCCCAGACATCACATGGTCTTAGTCTTTAGCCCTACCACTCTCATGAGCCTCCTGTCCAGGAGGGCCATTAGTGTCTGAGGTCTACTCAGTGCAGACTCCAAGTTCCTTCCCATCCCCATGAGCCATCTGTCAGGGTGAGCTGAGAGATCAGCCAGGGGAAGCAAAACCACTGTCACTGAGAGAAATCATTCTAGGGGTGGGGAAGTAGTGGTTAGTAAGCAGGAGAGCAAAAAGAGAAGAAAACTGCATGTGAGTGTTGAACACCTCCAGTCCAAGAAGGTGAGGCATAAAGGTGTCCTACCACTAGGGAACATATTCCAGTCATATGACAACAAAGTACATTATCAACAGCAAACCCATACAGGTATGCAGCAAACTTGATCTTTGCCCCTTTGGAGGAAAGAATTTAGGGGTAGAAGTAGGTTTAAGGTAGAGGGAGAGATGGAGGCAAGTTTTAGAGCAGGAGTGAGAGTTTATTAAAAAGTTTTAGAGCAGAAATTAGAGGAAGCAAAGTACACTTGGAAGAGGGCCAAGAGGATGACTTGAGAGATCCAAGTGCCCTGATTAGCCCTGGACTTAGAGTTTTTTTACCTTGGCATGGATCTGGGGTTTGCATTTCTCCTCCCTTGATTGTTCCTTTGGAGTAGGCTGTCCACATGCACAGTGGCCTGCCAGCACTTGCAAGAGGCTGCATGCACAATATGTTGAGGCAGAAGAATAGCTTGAACCCGGGAGGCAGAGGTTGCAGTGATCTGAGATCTAGAAAACAAGGAGGATGACACCCTTTGGGGCACGCTGTAGGTTTTATGGCACCTATACTTGCCAGAGTAAAATTGAAGTAATATAGTCTTTGTGCACATTTACATTAAGGAAGAAGAGCCCTAAGGTCAACCTGCAAACTATAGAGTTCCTATGTCCACTTTTTCTCTATTTTCTTTTCTGCCTGCTTTAAATCTGCTGTTTATTTTTCTACTGAGATAAAAACCACTGTTTGGATCTAACAGGTTTTTGTTGTTGTTGTTTGCATGTTTGTTTTTCACAAGCCAGTGAATTTGTATTTATCTCATGGCTAAAGTACTGAAATAAAAGCTATAGAATCTTTGTGAGTGTGTATGTGTATGTGTATGTGTATGTGTATGTGTGTGTGTATGTGTGTGTGTATTTGGAGGCCTAGATTTCTGTAATTTTCTGTTCAATTGGCAATTAAATCCATTTTAATTTCCCTCTAGCTAACGAGACTTTCTCTTCATACCTTATGATGTGAATTTTGCTATCTGATTTTCACCTGAGTTGTTTTCTTTAATATGCAGATTTAGGACTATTTAGCTGACAACTGCCAGGGTAAGAAAACAGGTTATCAAGAGTTGGCAAGTCTAAAATAGGAAAAATAAGGAGGTCTTAAGAATTTATAAGACATACTTCTATCAAGATGCCTAATATATCTCTATATTTATGTGTTGTGTACACAATGTTTCACTACTGAAAATGTATAAAAAAGCTCTAATTAACTGGCTTGAGAAAATAAAAGCATTCAAATAAAATACTTATTAGGAAAGAAGAAAAGACTAGTCAACTGCTTTTTTGAGTTTATGTAACTTAAGTAAAATCTTTAAGAACTAAGTTAGGTTTAAAGTTATTGGTAAAGTAATGTTAGAAATGTCTTAAGAATTACTAGCATACATTTTTGTTTGCATTTATTAATCAATCAACTTCATACTTATCCCTTTGAAATATTATAAGGTATCAAAATTTGGCACAGGGGTTACAAAACTATAAACCCAGCCTAAAACAGAATAATCTTTGCTTGTGTAACTTTTAATAAATAAGACATTGATATTAGTTTAATATAAATGGCTACATTTTGAATTATTTAGTAAAATTACTGTACCTTCTAATTTTGTGGCTTTAGGCAGTCTAGTCCATAGGCAGTAAGGAGGTTTGTTTTGGGAAAGGACTGTTATCATCTTTGTTTCAAAGCTAAACTATAAACTAACTTGTCATTATTTAGAATGTAATGTTCTATTAAATTAAATAATAGATATTTCATTATTTGGGTATTTTCCAATAAAAATATATTGTAGGAAAACTTGAACTTGCTAAAAAAATTGTGTCCTTTTTAAAAAGGGTGAATAAGTTTTGTCTATTTCAAAACTTATTTAAAAGTGATGTATAAAACAAGGTAAAGGAACCAGGAAATAAGAAAAATGTACAGAATTTATAAAAATAAAGAGTTTTTTTGTGGTAAGAAAGCTTAAAGATAAATAATTTTATATGAGAAAGAATTTTGTATGGTAAATTTAGTCCTAAAATAAAGTGACTGGTTGTTTCAGAAAGACAGATGTTCAGGACAAACCAGAAAGTCCAAGCATGTCATTAAAGGTATCTGTAAGTCACAATAAGAGGGTTTATTTTAAAAACTTTTATTTGATCAAGTTGGTTATACTTAAAGGAAAATTATAACACTCTTTCTAGAGATTGGACTTCATGGAAAAAAACCTCTATATACACTAAATTATCGGTTAGAACAATAAAATTTTCTTAAGGGTTTTATTTACTCAATAAATTACAAGAGATTTTAACTTTTTCTAACCCCAATTTCAACTTTTATTTCATCTTGCTGTTTTTTGGCTTTCTCTCCTCTTTTAAAAGGTAAGTTTTCTTAAAGGTCTAAAGGAAATGTTTTTTCCCAACATAATATTCTCTGCATTGCAGAAAGTGTTTTCTCTTGTCTCTTGTTAGCTGGCCTAACAGGATTTATGTTTCATCAAAGCAATTCCTATACCATTATTATTAATTTTGGTTTGCTTAGAAAAAAGCTGAGATTTAATTTTCTTTTAAATTAAGGATATTACATCTGTGTATTTTCCTACATATGCTTTTAAGGTTCTTGTGACATTGAATTACAGGGCTTTTGACTCCTGGGTCTAAAAAGAACACCAAGTCTAGCTAAATCTTAACACTGACAGCAATTAAAGCCTCATCTGCAGGCCTCATAGAAGAAGCCAATCAAAATAAACTGCATTCCTGAGACACAGGGCCAAAAACTAAAGCTATTCGACTCCTGAAGTCCCAGGGACTATTGTGGAAGAGGTGGGCATATGAGATTGTAAGGGTCAATTTTGAAAGATAAAATCAGTTCAGTTTCTCTATAAATTAATCATTAATGTCAAAGGCACACTGATGCAAGACCAGCATATGGGCCTCTGTGTCAGATTAACAAGGTTTTCTTAAAGTATTAACCAACTCCTTAATAAAGGTTATAAAGATTATAAAAGGCTTATGAAAGTTATATCTTTTCATCAAAATTAAAATTTTATAGATTGTTTATAAAATTTTGAATAACAAATTTAATGGACTTTATGCTGTTTTTTATTAGAGAATACTGTTGGAAAATTAAGTCTCCTCTCTCAAAGAATGAAGGTTTTTGCCTTCTTTTTTTTAATCCTTGAGTTATCACTTTGTTTAAATGAATGACTTACTTTACCATAACCTCTAATCTTATTTTGCAATATTAAGTGTTTTAAACCTTTGATATTAGACAAACTTTCTGAAATCAAATTATAAACTATATCTTTTTCTGGCCTAATTAATCCTTTAAGATTTACTCTCCCTAAAGTCCAAAAATGAAATAATTTGTCTTATTTAGTATAAAAATTATACAGAAAGTATTGTCAAATATGAAATGATGTTTGGTTTTCTTTGAGCTGTATTTATATAAATATGTTTTTGGTATGTGTTCCAAAATTATGGAAAACTCCTGTAATTCTGATATAACTTAGGGTATGTTATTAATAATTATCATAATTGTTATATTAAAATTATTGTGTGCCACAGAGGTAACAAATTTCCTTGTCAATTGTGTCTTTGACTATGGATGCCCTAAAATTTTTGTCATCCGCAGACAATTGTTGTCTTGTTTTGTTCCTCTTTAGAAGGGGTTTTATAATAAGCTATAAAACTCTAACAGGTGCTCTTGAATGCAGGTTTCTGATAACTTTGGAGATTGTGACATCAGAATAGAGGAAAAACTTTTAGGACTCATGGAGAGCTAAAATGTTCATGAGTATCAAGCAGAAAAGGAATGAACTATATGGACTGAACTAACATTTTTGACTTTTTGCTTAAAATGTTTCTGATTCTTTGTTTTGTTTTTCAGGTCTCAAAACTTTTCTTTTGAGTTATTGATAGCTTTTAACAATTTATTTTACTCCTAAGGACAAAATTTGGGGCATATTTGTTTCTCTCGACCTGATTTCTGCAGAATTTGGAAACTATTTGTGAGTATTCTTAATTTATGGCAATACAGTTATTTGCATAAGTGTAATAAGAATCTATTTTTAATTGTAACAGAACACAGTTAGAGAAACTGGTTATTTTACCAAGGCTTTGAATGGAATGGTGTGCTTCCCTTTAAGGAATCAAACTTGACTTATGGAGCCAATAAAGCCCTTGGAGAAGCTGGCGTCATATTTTATATACACAGTCCCTGTACAGGGTTTCTGACCTGTGGTAAGTAAAGAATGTCACTTTCTGATAGGCCGGGAAGCCCTAGGTTTATCATGGAACCTCAAGAAAAGAGGAAATTCACCTAACTAATAGGTACTAATGGTACAAATCCATGACTGGATTTGGCTTTAAAAAAATCTTATCTGAGATTTCTTCTATGGAATAAAGTTCCATCAAAGTGAATTAAAAAATATGTATGTAAAAAATAATTATGACTGCACTTTATACAAATAATTGGGCAAATTATAATAAAGCAAACCAGTTCTATCATGATTTGTCTTTAGCAAAAATGGGAAACTGGAGAGAGAAAAATTATGTTTCAAAAACTATAGTACACCTGTTGTTAGATTCTAGTTTTGCCTAATGTTTTTATTTTCTATGGTTTGGACCCAATTCTTTTTATTGGCTACAATCTGCAAGTAACATATTCATTTTTTTCTTCTTTTTTGCATTTTTATTCATTTGAAAGCACTGAAAGCTAAGCTGTGCTTTCAGAAATCCCTGAGAACTGAAGCTAGACAACTTAATCTTCAGAAGAAAATAACAGCAACCTATTTATGTACATAAGCCACTTTCATACCTGCCTACTGATATATGGACTTCAGAGTATTGTGGACTATATTGATTTTCCAGAATTGTTCTTTTGTTTGTTATTACTTTTCTCCCTTTCTCCCCCTGTTTTTTTTTTCACAACAAATTGCTTTTATTTTGGTATGCATCCACATTTCAGCATTTAGTGGTCCTGAACAGAAAGTGGAAAGACACAGCAATTCAATCCCCCCAATTTTGGGGATCTGCTGTGCACACTAGGTTCTTTCTTAATCCCTGCTGAGGAACTTGAGAAGCAGCAGCAGCACCAAAACCAAGGCATGCACCGGATTCAAGGTTCTTTTTGTTCCAGTTGTCAGATTCCAAACTAGACCCCAATGTATTGCAAGTATGACCAAATAAAAGCCCTGTTTAAAACTTCTTCTTTTTCTTTTCTTTTTTTTTTTTTTGAGACAGAGTTTCACTCTTGTTGCCTAGGCTGGAGTGCAATGGCACGATCTCAGCTCACTGCAACCTCTGCCACCTGGGTTCAAGCAATTCTCCTGCCTTAGCCTCCCAGGTAGTGGGATTACAAGCATGTGCCGCCACACCCAGCTAATTTTGTATTTTTAGTACAGATGGGGTGTCACCATGTTGGTCAGGCTGGTCTCGAACTCCTCACCTCAGGTGATCCACCTGCCTCAGCCTCCCAAAGTGCTGGGATTACAGGCATGAGCCACCATGCCTAGTCAACTTCTTCAATTTTTAAATGCAAAAGCAATTACAGGAAAGTAAAACAATTCACAGGGATCATGTGTACTTGCAAGTGTCTTCATGTGGTCTTTCTCCAAGTTTAACCACCAAGGACTCTGAGAGCTGGCAGGTCTGAGTAACCCCAGTGACTATTCTCTTTCCACATTATCAAAACCTGAGCTAAAAACAGTGCATTAGCTGATGACAGCAGAGGGTGGCAGGGCTGAGGACCCAATATTCATTTCCCAGGTTGGTGGAAAGTGAATAAGTATGGTTCCAAAACTAAACAAAGGAAATCAGAGGGTCTTTCCATCCTTGTCTGATGGCTTCTGGCCAAAGCAAGGAAGTGTCATGGAAGGTGTTGGGTGGTGATGGTGCAAAAAGCAGCTTGAGGAGGAGGGAAGAAAAAGTGCACCCCTTAATAAAGGTAGGGGAGAGAAGATATGGGGAAAGCCCTGAATTCCTCACCAAAAGCTAATCTCAGAGGGTAGCGGAGGGGTTACAATCTATGCTTCGGCCAAGGGCAGGAGTGGAGGAGCTTGGGAAGAGGATGATGGCTTGGAAAGGGCATCATTTAAGACTTGAAGAAACCAGGGGTGCAGGTGAAGCACCCTACACACCCAGCAGTAGTCTCACAGGCTGTAACCTGAAACCTTCACATCTACTCTACAGGCCCCCCAGGCTAGAGGGCTGTTGTTGCAGGGAGGGTGGGAGGTAGTAGGTAGGCAGAGACCCCAGAACATGTAATCAGCAGCAAGGTGATTGTGTGATGTGTCTTTTCACAGTTGAGTTAGATATGCCCCATCAGTTATGATGGGAATCAATTTAAATAGACTTTCTTGATCCCAGAAGTTCAACTATGGGGACAGTGGTTACACTTGACAGGATGATTTGTCATAGCACAACTTATATATTTCAAGTGGACAAAAAATTAGTATCATTTATATATCTTAAGATAAATTTCCTTTGAATGGGAGCTTTCTTTCCAGTACTTTGAGGTCTACAAGATGTATCTGGAAAATATACTACTCTGGAAAATGAAGACTGCTTAAATCGAATGGGGGGAAAAGGGAGGGGCTTGTGGTTTTTCTTCTGGATTAATTGCTGTAACACTGTCCTTCAGGTGACTGAGGGAGTTTCATATTTTCTTTAGACATAATTAGGCACCAAAGCTCTTGCAGGACAACTTTGGTGCTATATGAATTCTGCCATTTTGCTAGCACTGATGTGGCTCTTGTGTCCACCACTCCATTAGAACTATTAACTCCATTTTAATTTTTGTTACAAATCTTACAAAGGGGGTGTTTCTGGGTATTTAGGTTCACATTCTATTCTCAGGCTGTGTACTTGGTTTTCATAAATTGTCCTTGGAGGCCCAGTTATCTTCCCTGTCCATCTTATAAGTGTCATGTCTTCGTCATCTTCTAGACCCCAGCTAACTGTGCCATCTCCTACTCCTTTCTTCGAGTTCGTCCAACAGATGGAAATTGTAAGGGACTGTTACTCCCTAGCCCATGGTGGCTGCCATCTTGCAACGCTGTTGCCTGAAGGCTGGCCCCTTCTCTCCCCCTATTTTCTTCTCACAGGGCATGAGACCACAATCTTCTAAAAATGACCTTTCCTAATAACTACACACCTACCTGTTTAGGAATAAACCATCTTAGCCATAAGAGAGAGGATGAAATCTGAGACCAAATACTCATTTTCTTCTAAAATGCTTTCTCCAAAAGATTTAATAAAAGAAAACAGGGGAAATGTGAAAGGAAAATATATTGGTCACCCAAAATCACTAAGTTAAAAAGTAAATTCAAGCTGGGAACTGCTTAGGGCAAATCTGCCTCCCATTGCATTGAAAGTCATCCCTCTGCTCACTGAGATAAATGCATATTTGATTGCTTTCTTTGGAAAGGCTAATCAGAAACTCAAAAGAACGCAATCGTTTTTCTCTCACCCACCTGTGACCCGGAAGCCCCCACCCTGCTTCAAATTGCCACTGCTTTCTGGACCAAACCAATATTCATTTTACATATATTGATTGTTGTCTCATGTCTCCCTAAAAAATACATATAACTAAGCTATGATCTGATCACCTTGGACACACTTTGTCAGGACCTCCTGAGGTTGTGTCACAGGTGTGTATTCTCAATGTTGGCAAAATAAACTTTCTAAATTAACTGAGATCTGTCTTAAATTTTAGGGGTTCACACCACTCTCTCCTTGCTTGTAAGATTTCCACTGAAAAGTCTGCTACCAGATGTATTGGAGCTTCACAGTGTGTTATTTTATCTTTTGCTTTTGCTGCTTTTAGAATCCTTTCTGGATTGTTGATTTTTGGAAGTTTGCTTATTAAATGCCTTTTTTAAGTTGTCAAATTATTGGCATAAAGTTGTTCATAAAATGTATTTATTATATTTTAAGTTCTGTAAGATTTATGTTCTCTCATTTTTCCTAACAGTGGTAAATTGTGCTTTATTTTTTGGTTTATCAGTGTAGCTAGGACTTTATAAATTTTTTAAGTGTTTTCAAGATCCAACTGTTTAAAAAACTTTTTGAAAACTAAACAATAGACACAACTTAAGTTGAATTTCACAAATTTTTCTAAACAATAAACACTGCTTAAGTTTTACTTTACACACTTACATTTGTTGTAATTTTAAGATAATTTAATTCAAGATATTTTAACATTTCTCCTGTATCTTTGATACATGTGTAATTTAAAAGTGTTACTTTATTTTCAAATATTTGTTGCTTTTTCAAGTATATGAATTTGTTAGTTAATTCTCCCTTGATGTCATTTTGCTAAGAGAGCATGTTCTGAATTATTTTTTTAAAGTTTTTGGAATATTTTGTGACTCAGTTTGCAGTCTCTGTGAATGCTCCTTATGAACTTTCAAAGAGTGCATATTTTTCAGTTCAGTATACTGTCTTACACATGCCAGTTAGGTTTAATGGGATGATAGAATTGGTTCAAGTCCTATATAACCTTACTCATTTTTTTTTGGCCTGGTTTTTTTCTATCAATTAGTACAGGAGAAGTGCCAGTATCTCCAATTATTTTGGTGGAAGTGTCTTTTTGTGTTGAATTCTGTTTCTGCTTTATTTAATTTAAGCTGTATTTTAAGGTGCATACATATTTAAGATTTCTACATATTCTGATAAATTAGTCAGGTTATCATTATAAAATTATCTTCTTTATCTTTGGTCATATTATTGTATTGAAGTTCATTTTTTTTTTGGATGGAGTCTTTCTCTGTCACCCAGGCTGGAGTGCAATGGTACTTTCTGGGGTCACTATAACCTCCGCCTCCTGGGTTCAAGCAATTCTCCTGCCTCAGCCTCCCAAATAGCTGGAATTACAGGTGTGTGCCACCACGCCCAGCTAATTTTTTGTATTTTTAGTAGAGATGGGGTTTCACCGTGTTAGCCAGGATGTTCTTGATCTCCTGACCTCATGATCCACCCGCCTCAGCCTCCCAAAGTGCTGAGATTACAGATGTGAGCCACCACACCCGGCCTGAAGTTCACTTTTTAAGATACAAATGTAACCACTCCAGTATTTTCTATGATGCATGTTTGCCGTAGGACAGATTTTTTTAAAAGATTACTCATAACTTATCTGTGTCATCTTATTTATTATATTTTTTTGGTTCGGGAGCTTATTATCCAGACTTACAGTGTGTGTCTTTTATAAAATATATTTAGTTCCTTTTCAATTTTTGTAACTATTGGTATTTTTTAAGTTGACCACTTAGCATTTTGTTATTTATTTGTCCTATTGTTCATTCTGCTTCTTAATCTTTTTTTATACCTTTGAGTACATAAATATATAAATTTAATCTTCTCTATTGGCCTTTATTTGCATATCGTTGCTTTTATTTGTCACAATTGTTCCCTTAGGATTAAAATTATTGTAATTAACTTAAATTGATATTAAGCTACTTTACATAGCTATAAGAATGTTACAACAGTATCATTCCATGAGCCTTCTCATTCTTTGTCATATCATTGTCATACAATTTACCTCTATATGTTATAAACTCCATTATGCTTTGTTTTTATTTTCATAATTCATTATATTTTTAGTAAACAGAATTTCTTTTATATTTATCCACAGGTTTACCATTAGCATTATTTATTTTTTCATATATCTAATTTTCTACCTGATATAATTTAAAATCAGCCTGAATAACTTCTTTTAATATATATATATTCTAATATTGCAGGTCTCCTGGTGTTAAACTGTTACAACTTTTGTTAATATAAATTTTTTTGTCATATTTGAAGAGTATTTTGTTGAATATTAAATTCTAGTTTAATAGTAATTTTATTTCATTATTTTAAATATATTCTGGTTTTAGTGGGCTTTTTTGACATGTGATGTTTCTGATGATAGGACATTATAATATTTCATGTCCTATAAATAATCTATGTTTTTCATGTGGCTGTTTAAGGTTTTTTATTTAGCTTTTGTATATTTAACTATATTGTGCCTAGGTGTGTTTTTTGTTTTGTTTTGTTTTTAGTTTATTCAACTTACAGTTTGTTATATTTTTTGGGCTTATGGGTGGCTAGCTTTCAATTAATGTCAATATTTTACCATTTTCTATGCCTCACTATCTTCTCATTCAAAGTCACATATTTAGATAATTAGATATGAAAACACTGGATAGTGATGCTGTTCACTTGGTATAGCTTGGTTTTTATCTATGTTGCATAGAATCTGTTATTGTGTTTTCAAATGTGCTCATAGTTTTCTGCTTTGTGTTTTCATTAAGCCCATTTAGTAATTTATTTAAAATTTTAGATATTTTTCTGACTTCAAATTTCCTTTTGAATTTTTCATAATTTTGATATTTCTATTTAGATTTGCTATTTACTCACACATTATATTCATCTTCATATTTAAATTTAAGTCATTGATTGTTCAATATAACTGTAATAACTGTGCTAATGTTTTTGCCTGCTAATTCTCATATTTATCATCTCTAGTTATGCTTTTGTTAAAAATTTTTTTTCTCTTATTTCTGCATCTTCCTTTAGATTGTGTAAGAGCGCATGCAGCTCTCACTCTAGAGTTACAGTATTTCTACATCTAATTTGTGTCCTGTCTAGATTTACACTTAATGAAAAGAGTGTTTAACATAGACTTCATGCTCTGGGCACTTGGAATTCCAATGTCTTTTAGCACTACATAAACTCCACAGTTTCTGCAGAGACCAGATCATAGAGTGTCTTTTATTACATACTAAGTTGGTATAATTTCTAATTTAAGATAGAAACCAGTCAAATTAGTCGTTTAGACAGGCACAAATGATATATATTTATTGAATACATACTCCGTATTAGGAACTTAGAAAAATCTTTACTTACATATAATTACTAAATTCTTGCAATAGTACTGAGAAGCAGTCATTATTCTCCACACTTCAATTATGAGAAGAACTAAAATTTAGAGCTACGTAATATTTTATCTGTGAGCAAACAGATAGTCAATGTAGGCCTAAGATGTAAGCCCAGGTCTGTCTATTCCAATTCTGAAACTATAACCATCAACAGCAGTATTGAAAACTTATTTCAGTCAGGCAAAAATGGAGGTAAAAACAATTTCAGAAGATTTTGGTCAATACAAAAAATAATAAGTGTGTGAATTAATTAAGGCAGTAGGAATAGTATTGGAGAAAAGGATATAGATGCAAGAAATATTTAGAAAATAAAATTAGCCATATATGGCAATTGGGATACATAAAGAAATTGGGTTGAGAGACCAGGGAAATGTTAACTTTCTAAAGTTTCCAGGTTGAATGGCAGAATTGCATGCCATTATTGTCACAGAGAATAAAGGATTGGAGAATTTCACTTATATGCACATTAAGCTGCCTGTGTTTTGTCCAGATGCAGATTATGTTTTGTATAATTGAGAAGTTCCAAAGGGAAGCCTCAGCTAGAGAATTTGATTTCCACATTATCAGCATTTCAGGGACTATTAAATCAAAGCAAGAAGACAAATTAATGTTTTATAGTGTAGAAGACTTAAGCCCAACATGTTGTTCACAATAGTCTGAAAAAAATGTATATTTATAGAGGGAGGTACAGAGAGAGAGAGAGAAGCAGAGTAATACTCTATATAGTTAATAATATATATGGATAGAAACTTGATTAAAATATAAATAAAAATTAGCCATACCTTACAACTTACTAAATATTATTGACTAAAATAAACCAATGTATTTGTATTTCATCTTTTATTTATTTGATAAATATGTTTTGAGCACCTGTCAGGCTATTCCGATTGATCGTCAAACAGAAAACATTTTACCAGTCCGTTATGCCAGGTACCAATGCTTCTAACAGGTATGAGACACTATTCTGACTAATAATTTTACAATTTATGAAGAATTCAGTGAGCAGAAGCAGGAAGATGGGAGAGAACATGTCAGGTTTTAGGGTAATGAATACAATAACTAGGCTGGAGCTCAGACTTTCCCTAATAGCCCATTACAGAATCCACTTTCCAAGCACCCTAAAAACTGCTTTTAGAATGTAGCAAGGATCACTGATGTTTGTGCTATGATCCAAAAGTATTAGTATGCCGCAGAGAAACTACTTATTCAACTATATTTTGCTTAATAGATATTTGTTTTTACTCCACAAAAGATTAATATCACAGAATGACCTCAGTAAGTCAGTTTGGAATAAAGTGCTTTCTCACTCAAGTTGTTTAAAATATGAGTCTATTTTACCCCTCTTCAGGATTGCTCACAAGCAAAATAATAGATACATGATATTAAAGCATATCTAAGATCAATTATGTGAGTTCAGAAACAATATTAGTTGGAAATATCTCTTAAAGTAATTAGATATAGCATTGCTTCTAATATTTGGAACTATACTGAAAAGATTTGATTCAGAAATATTTATAAAGAAGTTAATAGTGCTATACTGTTAAGGATCATACAAAAATGTTACTGGAAGTATTTAAAGCAAAATAAAATAAACTAGAGGAAACTTGCATTTTTTTTATTCTTATACATTGCTTTACTTTTACTAATTTCCTTGGATATTTTTGCTGTGCCTGCATAAGAAGGGCAATTGAACACTCAATTTTAAAATTCAGCTTTGAGTTTAGTCATTGTGAATGCCCTGGCACCCACCCGCATCATGAGAGTATAACTTTGAATGCACTTGCTCCTTCAGACTCATTTAACAATTGTAAATACTAATTTCCTATGTATCTGGTTCAAACTGTGACACTATAGTACATGCATGACTGTATTGGCATCCAGGCTTCTGGGTACTGCTTTCATATTCCTTAGACAAAAACTGCAATAATTTTATTATAAAATAACCATTGATTACTTCTAATCATCAGAATTATGTTAAAGGGCATATGTATTTTTATTATTTTCTAAGAAACTAAATAGCCTCAGAGGAAAGACCTCCAGAGCCTAGTTTTAGAGGTTATCAATGAAATAGTGTGTTATCCACATTTTTACTCTGGAGTGAAGCCTTATTATTTCAGTGAAGTGCTTCCAAAGATTTTAAGTACTTCACTCTTAAATATGAATGGATATGCTAGGTTCAACCAACTTTTAAGATAAATATCCAAGATGAAAGAGAGAAACAAAATAAATTTAAGAATGAATGAATGATTAGAGTCAACTTAGGAAGCAGAAAAAAAATCATTTTAAAAACACATTATATGCATGGAAAAATAAAAAGATATTTTATACATAAAACAATGGGTTGTATGGAAAAAACATAGAAAAGATAGCCTTTGAACATTAAAAATATGGCAACCTCAATAGAAAACTTTAATATGTATTTTGGAGCTACAAATGAGTAAATTTCCCAAGAAGTAGAACAAAATGATATAAAAAAGAAAAATATGAGAATTTTAGAATAGCTCTACCGGAACTCAAATATCTAACTAACATAGGAACAGAAAGAAGATAAAACTGTTTTGATGTGCACATTGAGAGTGTCCACTAGAATATGCAGCACAATAAAAGAAAAGGAGCCACATCAAGAAACAATGCCATGAAATTTACTAGCCATATGTAAAGAGATCCCAATCTCCAAATATTTGTAAACCAAAAGTATCTGAGACAGGTCCCCATCAATTTAGAAAGTTTACTTTGCCAAGGTTACGGTCACACCCATAACACAACCTCAGGAGGTCCTGGAAACATGTGCCCAAGGTAGTTGGGGTACAGCTTGGTTTTATACATTTTAGAGAGACATGAGACATCAGTAAATACATGTAAGATGTAAATTGGTTTTGTCTGTAAGAGCAGGACAATTCAAAGCTAGGGCTTCTAGGTCATAGGTAGATTTAAAAATTTCTGATTGGCAAATTGTTGACAGAGTTATTATCAATAGGAAGGAAAGTCTAGGTTACAATAACAAGATGTAGAGACCAAGGTTTGTCATGCATATGAAGCGCCCGGTAGCCAGCTTCAGAGGAAATAGATTATAAATATTTCTTATCAGACTTAAAGAGTCTGTTCTATCAGTAATTCCAAAAGGGAGAAGGGTGTAATAAGGTATGTTCAGTTCCCCTTTCCCGTTGTGGCCTGAACTAGTTTTTTTGATTAACTTTGGAGTGCTCTTGCTTAGAGGAGAGTTCCATTCAGATGGTTAGGGGGTTTATAATTTTATTTTTTGCTTACATTCTCCTCCTTCTGACCAAGATTAGTCTGAGGCAACATCAATGACCACCAAACTTTTATTTTGTCCCATAGTATTGCCAGGATGGCATGGCTGCCTGCCCCAGTTTCATCCTGTCCTTTGCTGGGACCCTCTATGACCAACAGACTCAGAGACAAAAGACTTATGACCAATTAAATATTCTTGACCAGGGAGAAACTGATGTAGACAAGTATTCATCACCCTTTAAAATTTGTAAAGTAATATAAAAGCCAACAAACAAAAAGCCAAATATTGGATGTGGACAGGCATTTATTACCCTTTAATATTCTTAAAGTAATATAAATGCCAACAAACAAAAGGGTATAGTACAGGTTACAAAATTCAGTTTATGTATCTTTAACTTCTATGTATAGAGCTACTGTAATCTTGGTTTTAATTACAGACTTATAACAATTAGCTATATAAAACGTAAGCATTGTTAAAACCATTTAAGCTAAGGAATTCAGGGACTTCTTTTGTGCTGCAATGCTTTTTGTGCTTTTTTGATAATTTGTCCTATGGCGGCTGATCAATTAATTATATATATATATATCTGCATATATTGCATAACTAGGAGAATTATACCCACAAGGCTTTGTCACGAGGTATCTTTATTTCCTCTCAGTAATAATTTTCTTTTAATTCTATAGGGAACAGAAAATTTTTTATGAATGGATTGGATGGAATGGTGCCACGTATGTAATAACCCAGGTGGCCATGTCCCTTATTTTACCAGTTGTTTAGCACCTCCTTTATTTGGACGGTCTAATCTAATTATAAACCTCAAAACTGGCCATTAGAATCTCATATACCCACCTCTTCACTGGGCCAAAATGGTGGGTGCTAGTATAGTTTCAGCAGCAGGGCATTTGCAGTGATAAACAGATCAGGCCCAGTGGGATTCCAAATGTGGGAAATATGCAGCCTTTGAAAAACCATCTCTAGTCTTCCTAATACTGTGATTCTGGTTTTCTCAGAAGTAAAATTACAATACATGAATAATATTAATAATTTGATAATTAAAAGATAATGTGTGTGCCAGAACATAAGGAATCTATTCCATTAGGGTGCCAACTAAAAACATGAGGAAAATTATAACCTATTGCTCTTTTTGATGATTATTGTAGCCAAGAAATAATTAATGATTTAATCTGAACTCAAAAATAAAAGTCAGAGCTTGAACTTAGTAATGGGCATTTTAGTTCTCTTTAAAACAATTTCTCTTTTTTTCTAGCCTTCCCTTTCTATTAAACAGAGATTATAGTAAGACGAATTTGTGTGTAAAGTAAGTTTTAGGTTTATTATACTTGGCTTGATTATTCACACAAAGTGCATCAAGAATTGATTGGCTGTACAGATTCTTTTCAAGTTGGCTTTCTGTAACTTTACCTGAAAATATGTCATTCAAGTCAAAGCCTTGGTAAAATAATCAGTGTCTCCAATTGTGTCTTGTTTCAAAAGAAAAGATGCTTACTAAACTTAGGCAAATAGCTATATTACCATAAAATCAGAATATTGACAAATAGCTTTTAGATTTGGGATAATACAGATGGAGAGAAAGGTAAAATTTGCTCACTAAAACATACTTTATCTAATTGCTCTAAACTATAAGTAACTCAAAGGAAAAATATTTTCTTAATTATTCTTTAACAAGAACAGTAGATTCCAAACAGGATTTGTTTGCTTACTTTGGAACTGCCATTGAAGAGCCATGCATGCAGTTCTTGTCAAATAAAAGCTGTTTATCAGGCACGGTAGAATCTAGCAATGTTAACAGCCACAAATCCATATAGGTCTACAGCAACGTCAGTTCTTGCCTCCTCAACAGAAATAGTTCAACCAGGGGGCATAAGGCACAGGGATAGACTGTGGTGAGTTTTAGAGCAGGGATGAATGTTTATTAAAAAGTTTTAGAGCAGAAACAAAAGGGAGTTAAAATACACTTAAAAGAGGGCCAATTGGGCAACTTGAGAGGTTTAAGTGCATAGCTTGACCTTTGACTTAGGATTTTATATGTTGACATACTTCTATGGTCCGTTTTACTTCTTCCTTGAGTCTTGCCTTGGGGTGAGATGTCTGCTTGTACAGTGGCCTGCCAACACTTGGGATGGGCCACATGTGCAGTGTGTTTAATTAAGTTTTACACATGCTCATTTGAGATGTTTTTCCCTTAAGTCATGTGTTCCTATAGGTAGGTTATATATCAGCTAAACTCTGCCATTTTGCTCTTAGTATGCATGTTTGAGCCCACTCACCCAAATCCTGAAATATTATTGGAAAGCTGCTGATCACCAGCTTCAGGGTTCTTTTTTTTTTTCAATCTATTGGGTGACTGCCTTTTCCATGGTGCCAGCTGCAACTAATTGTTATTTAAGAGAGACAGTTTATCAACCACCTGACCATCACCTATTGGTTGCCTGACATTCCTGGAGGTGTGTATTTGGGGTGAGGGGATCTCCTGTCCTGCTCATATCTGCCTAACAAATTACTGTAACATTTCCCCCCTCAAGAGTCCAATACCCCAATTCTTTGGGAAAAATTGATGAAACTCAGTATTCTATAACTGCTTCCTGCTGATGGGGATGTGGTGGTTGTTTTGTTGGTCTTGGCCTCTTGCTAGCTGTCAGGACAGGGTGGTTCCATGGGTTGGTGAAAGTTGTATCCAGCCAAGTCCAAGAGAGACAGGGGAAGGATTTTACTTCTGTTGTGTTCCACACATGGGCGTCTAGGAATCCTCTGCAAATGCAGAAAACTGGTGTGGGCACTTTAATGTTGAGGGACCAGGAGGGTCTCCCTTAGTCCATCCAACCTTTGAAAGTGTTGTGAAGATGTTTGTTTTAATCTTATCTATTTCAGGTTTATTTATTACATTTTACAATAGTCATCTTAGGATTTCCACCCTGTTGGGATGAGTCCTTTGACTCCTTATTGCTGTAAAACCTATGAGGGCCAGCCAGTTTGATAAGGCTTCTCAAGTCATTGTTCACTTTACACTGTACCTTCTGATTTTAATAGTTACTTGATTTTGCCTATCCCCTACATTGACTATCTTCTTGGTAACAACAGATCTCAGAGTTACTTATTAGTTTTTTTGCTATTACAGATAATAACTAAGTAATTACATATTTTCTTTTTTCTTTATTAGTTTGCATTTCCTTATTCATTCAGTTAACCAACACCCTGGGAGTATGATCCATCTGTAAATTCCACTGGAAACTTTTACCGTTAGTAACTGAACACAGCCCTGCTGCAGCTCTATACTGTGGGTGACTACATCATCACCCAAGAGTCAAAGGCTTCTCATTTCTCATTCTTTTATTTCTCATTATTCATTAGCTTTATTTACATATTTTTTCATTTACTTTAAAGCAACTCTTCAGTAACCTCTAAACTAGAAACATTATATTTTATTTTGCAAAAACTATATTATCATGTTTTTATAACTGTAGTGAAAACATTTTACTCTTCTACTATTTTGACTCATAGAAACCCAAATTCCTAGTGGGAAATCTAGGATCACTTAATTTAACAGAACAGGACTTTAAAATTTTAAATGACTGCAGTGAATTGAGATTAAATTTGCCAAATTAATCTTACCAAAGTTTACTAGTCATATGCACTAAGAAGCTTCTGAGCTAGCTTTTATTAGTCTGATAGGCACTTATTTTTTTCAAACCAATTGATTAGAGCTCTTTTATATAATTGGTACTAAAATGTTACTTCCACATGACATATGTAAATATATAGACATAACAAACAGACAGACAGAGGCAGGTCCTATAAAAATTTTTATTTGCTGGTTTTCAGTAATTTTTTATTACTTTAGACCATTAACTTAAAAAACATTACAGGAGCCAACAAAAGTTGAAGGGGAAATTTGCCATCCTAGGCTTTAAAAGAGAAAAAAGAGCAGAAGTAGTAGGGTTCAACTGAATAACTTCTGAGGTATCAATGTGAAGAATTTCAAAAAGAAAGAGATCATATAATTTAAAAATTAAAAACTTTTGGCCATGCATGGTGGCTCATGCCTATAATCCCAGCACTTTGGGAGGCCGAGGCAGATGGATCACGAGGTCAGGAGATCAAGACCATCATGGATAACATGGTGAAACCCTGCCTCTAATAAAAATACAAAAAATTAGCCAGATGTGGTGATGGGCGCCTGTAGTCCCAGTTACTCAGGAGACTGAGGCAGGAGAATGGCGTGGACCCTGGAGGTGGAGCTTGTAGTGAGCCAAGATTGTGCCACTGCACTCCAGCCTGGGGGACAGAGCGAGACTCCATCTCAAAAAAAAAAAAATTAAAAACTTTTTACAATTTTATTCAGTCAATATTATAAGAAAATTTTGTTCTAACCAATTCTTTAGTTTTGTATTAGTGTTTTTCTTTTCTTTTTTTTCTGAGACAAAGTCTTGCTCTGTCGCCCAGGCTGGAGTGCAGTGGCGTGATCTCGGCTCACTGCAACCTCCGCCTTCTGGGTTCAAGTGATTCTCCTGCCTCAGCCTCCTGAGTAGCTGGGATTACAGGCAGGCACCACCACGCCCAGGTAATTTTGGTATTTTTAGTAGAGACGGGATTTCACAGCGTTGGTCAGTCTGCTCTCGAACCCTTGACCTCGTGATCTGCCTGCCTTGGCCTCCCAAAGTGCTGGGATTGCAGGTGTGAGCCACTGCATTCAGCCTGTATTAGTGTTTTTCAAATATCAAATTATAATTTTTAGAAAGACTACTATAATATTCTATAATTATAATCAACTTAATCACAACATTTTTAGAATTTTTTACGAACTTTATTATTATCATTTGCACAGACCATTCATGACATGCTTGGACTTTCTGGCTTGTTCTTAACGTTCCTGTCTCTTAAACAAGCAGCCATTTTATTTTAGGTCCAAATGTACTGTGCATGGTTCTTTCTCATAACCATTTTTACCTCAAATATATATTTATATCCATAAACATTTTTTACATCTCTTTTATTTTCTGGTTCCTTTTACCTTCTTTCATAAATAACCTCTGGATAACCTATGAATTAGAAAAAACACATTTTTTACAAAAAAGTTTTTCTGCAATTTATTAAACTGGAAATTACTCAGATATTTAATAAATACCTATTATTTAATTTTATATAACTTTAGATTTTAAATTATATGAAAATTATATTTCTAGGCAATTTATTTAGATTTATGTGATTAATTTAATATTATTTTATTTTTATTTTTCTATTTTTTGAGACAGAGGCTCACTCTGTCACCCAGACTTGAGTCCAGTGGCACGATCTCGGCTCACTGCAACCTCCACCTCCCAGGTCCAAGCAATTCTCCTGCCTCAGCCGCCCAAGTAGCTGGGATTACAGGTGCCCACCACCACGCCTGGTTATATTTTTGTATTTTTAGTAGAGATGGGGTTTCACCATGTTGGCCAGACTGGTCTTGAATGCCTGACCTTGTGATCCACCCACCTCAGCCTCCCAAAGTGCTGGGATGATAGGCGTGAGCCACTGTGTCTGGCCTATTTTTATTATTTTTAATAGTTTACATTATTTGTGAAAACTGTGATAGTCATCAAAGTTATTTCACTTTTAGCCCTTTTAATAGCTTATGAATTTTACGTTTTCCCAAATAAAAATTTTATGGTTAACTATATGAGTATTATGCCAATATTATACCAATAACTCATGATTTAGATGTTTTTATTAAACAAACAGTATTATCTTATTTATTAAAAATAACACAGAGATTATTCTGTTTTATGCTGAATTTATAGTTTTATAAGCTTATGACTAATTTTGACACCTCATAACTGTCAGAATTAAATAGAAAACCTCTTGATTCAAAAATTCTAAGAAAATACATGCTGACAATTCTTAAGACATTTCCAATATTATTTTACCAATAAGTTTAATGCCAGCTTATTCATTAAAAATTGCATTTAAGTAATGTGAACTTGAAAGGCATTTTGGATTATTTACCTGTTTTATAAGTACTCCTTTATTATAACCCGTTTGGGTACCTTGTGGCCACAACATATAACAAAATACATGTACGTACATATAAACACATCTGAACATGCATATACATGCACAGACAGATTCTAGAGCTTTTACATCAGAAATCTAGCATGAGTTGTCAATATAAACTCACCAGTTTACAAAAAAATGGATAGATACAAATGACGTTTTTTGTTTGTTTTTCACTTCAGCACTAGTAGAAAAGTAACAGCAAATGTAAAGTAGGCAGAAAATAAAACATAGAAATAAACAGAGAACTTAGGAACTTTACCATTGCAAATCAACCTTTGGGCTCTGAGCTTCCCTTCATGTAATTTGCCCAGCAGTTTAAAATGTGCACAAGAACAGACCAAATGGGTAACCAGCCGGATTACTAGAAAACCTGGCATACTCTTTTATTTACACAAACACTTGCAAGTAAAGGCACCATAAAACCAAAAGGGGTGCTTGAAAAAGGGTCTTTCTCTTTGTCTTTCCTCATTCTTTGATTTGTTTCCCCAATTTTTTCTTAAAATGTGGAACTGAGCTTTGGCTTAGGGTTCTTAGTGTGGTGGATCGAAGTGTGCTAATTGTTAGTAGGACTCCACGGTGCCACCACTGAATTGTTTACACCCTCTTAGATGTCTCAGCTTCTCTCTCTAGAGGTCTATCACCTATGAAAGGGTTCAAAACACTGATTAATCAGCTCTTATATGCCTTTCCTGGATGACCCTTTTTAAACTAATTTTGTTGGGGAATCCCTATATAGCCACCATACAATTTAGGAAGTCAACCCCCAGACACTTCCAATCAGCATTTAGTCACCCAAGGGTGCCTTTTGGCTGGGAGGAGCAAAATGCTTGTTTGCTTTGGAGCTAAGGAGCTCAATATATGATTTATCTATGAGAATGACAGTTCACTTCCTTATGCAAATTCACAGACAAGCTGATTGAAATTAATCTGGGGAGATATGGCAATGGAGGAGACTCTTTGGAATGCACTACTAAACTATAATTTGGATCCTAAACATCTTCCTAGGAAGAAAATTAAAAATAATAATAAATGAATAAAAGCTAAGACCACTTCATGTAAACTTTCCTCAGCCCTCAGCCACTTCTAACATTGTAGCTCAGAATCTCTTTTTGGTTACCAATTTGTAAACCAAAGTACCTGAGGTAGGTCTCAATAAATTTAGAAAGTTTATTTTGCCAAGGTTAAGAACACACCCATGATATAGCCTCAGAAGTTCCCTACAACATGTATCCAGGGTGGTCAGGGTACAGCATGGTTTTACGTATTTTAGAGAGACATGAGACATCATTCAATACATGTAAAATGTACATTGCTTCAGTCTGGGAAGATGGGACCACTAGAAGGGAAGCTTCCAGGTAATAGGCAGATTTAAAGATTTTCTAATTGGCAATAAGTTGGAAGAATTATTATCAATATAAAGGAATGTCTGGGTTACAATAAGGGGTTGTGTAGACCAAGGTTTTATCATGCACATGAAGTCTCCAGGTAGCAGTCTTCAGAGAGAATAAATTATAAATTTTTTGTCCGACTTAAAGAGTCTTCTCTATCAGTAATTCCAAAAAGGAGGAGGGTATAATTAGGAATGTCCATCACCCTCTTTGTATCATGGACTTAACTAGTTTCTCAGGTTAACTTTGGAATACCCTTGCCAAGAGGAAGGGTCTGTGTTGGTCAGCGTTCTCTAGAGGAACAGAACTAATAGGATATATATATTAGTTTATATAAACAAATATATAAACTAACAAATATATAAACAAAAAGCGGAGTTTATCAAGGAGTATTGACTCACATGATCACAAGGTGAAGTCTCACGGTGGGCCATCTGCAAGCTGAAGAACAAGGAAATCAATCTGATTCCAAAACCTCAAAAGTACGGAAGCCAACAATGCAGTCTTCACTCTGGGAAGAGGAAGGCACAAGCTTCAGAATACAGGGAATGTTACAGAGGAAAAGTGAAATCCCACAATGACCATAGTGCAACA
Organism: Homo sapiens; assembly: GCF_000001405.40. Classification (NCBI taxonomy): domain Eukaryota; kingdom Metazoa; phylum Chordata; class Mammalia; order Primates; family Hominidae; genus Homo; species Homo sapiens. Next base: position 3,881,900 of record NC_000024.10, read on the forward strand.
GGCCCAGAAACAACAGTATAGATTGATTTAGAAAGAAGAAGAGCAGAATAAATTATATCTCTTTGAAATAAAGTTTCAATTCATATTATATAATGTTTTGGTGGTTTGGAACACAATAGTAACAGAAATTTTACAGAATTGATTGATCATGTTTGAAAACAGTGGAAACAAATGAACACAATCAGGGCAGCTATTAACCAAAGAAAATACAAAACCTTTTACAGGAAAAAGAATGTAAGAATTGTGAAATACTTGCCTCAGTAAACATTACATTTTTTAAAATTGTGGTATCAGTATATTGGGAGCATAAATATTAGTGGGGGGAGACACTTGAGAATAATGTCTTTATCAAAGAAATGAGAAGTTAATAGAGGGTATTGAAAATTGATAAACCAAGAAATAGCAGTGTGTAGGTATTTAAATAAAAGCAAACATCAAGTGAAATAGCTATATTTGATGAAAATAATCAACTCCGGGAAAAAGAAACAAGCATTGCGTATAGGTGACATTGTATACTGATGTTTTTAGGTATAGGACTTATAGTAGTATTTGATATCTTAATTTTATCTCTATAATATTTTGATTAAAATATTAATGAATGAATGAATTAGAAAACTTGCTATTTGAAAGATAGAAAAAAACAATTTGAAAAAATACATAGGAGAAAAGACTCATCAATTCACATATGACCATAAATTGCTCTTCTAAGAACCAAGAAGTTATCTTTATAGCTAGTCTCCATCCCACGTGCTGCAACGATGAAAGTGTTTTTAGACCCTGAGGAAGAAGCCCATTTGTCTCTGCTTAAATACTGTCAGTAATATGACATTTTATCTTAGACTCACTTGTATGGGGGTTATTGATCTCTAATTGGAGCTGTGCCACTGTGAGAAAATTCCTATTATTTTAATGTCCAATGATTCCAGGATAATGGAAAAATAGCATCCTTCATTTGTCCTTAATGTATAAATGAGACATATAAATGTACCACAACCTCTTTAAAGGCTTTCAAGATTCTCATCTTTTCTCTCAACCGTCACCATCACTTTCTATTCTCCTTATTCCTGTTATGCCCAGAGAGTAAAATTAGAAAGTGTTCTATTTCTCCTTGACTATGTTTTATTTGCCCTATATCTCTACCCATTCATTAATAAGATTAATAAAGATATGTAGACAGCCCACTTTTCTAGAGAGGTCTACTCTGACCATACTATTTAATATTGTAAACTTCACTCTACTTAATATTATCTCCACTGTCTCTCCATACCTCTTACCCTGCTCCATATTTTTCCTAGCACTTAATGCTTTGATTATTTTATTTATTGAAACTCTCTAGACAATAGGACATGTTTTCTGTGACAGCAGGGATTTTGTCCATTTTGATTGCTAATGGAGTTTCAGTGCTTACAAAAAATACCTGTCATACATACAATCCTCAACAAATACTTTTGAATGAATAAGTGTCACATTGTTGGTTTTTTGTACTGATGAGGAATGTTTATAGACAGAAGACAGAGAGTATTCTTGGTGACCTTAGGCAAACTTCTTAGCATGTCAAGGCCTCTATTAATCTGTAAAGTCTTCTATACAGTCAAACCACATTCATCTTGTGCTCCACCTGTTGGCAGCATATTAAATTTAGAAACATAAGACTAAGAGAAGGCTGAAGTGTCTGAGGCACATGATCTAATGAAGAAAACAAATATATTCAAAAATCATTACCACACAAAGTAATATATAATGGCTCAGAAAAGACCGTAGTTAGTTGGCTGATAATATTTCTAAAATATATTTTTTGAAATATTCTCTGGTAGTATTTACAATTGTGTGGATCGAGAAAGGGAAGGAGGGGGAAAAGAAAGGAGAAAAAAAGAGAGAGCAATTAAGAGGTAAATTACTTTTGAGATTGGATTTTTAAACATTAATATGGCGTGTTACATTTATAAAAAAACCCCAAAGATGTCCCTGGGTAGGAAGAATAATGGTCCCCCAAATATTTCCAAGTCCTCAACTCTAGAACTTATAAATGTTATATTTTATGGGAAAAAATAAGGTTACAGATGGAGTTAAGTCTGCTAATCAGTTGGCCTTAAAAAAGATTATCTGGAATTAACTGGATAGGTACAACGTAATCACAAGGATGCTTAAAAGTGAAAGAGAAAAGCAGAAAACAAGGTCCGAGTGGTACAATGTAAAAAAACAAACAAACAAACAAAAAAACTTGAGTTGTATCTGGCTTTGAAGATGGATGGAGGCCATGAGTAAAATAAATTGGGTAGCCTCTAGATGTTGGGAAGGGCAAGAAAATAGATTGTCTTCTAAAGATACCAGAAAGGAACATAGCCCTGTTGACACCTTAATTTTAGCCCAGTGATACTCATTTCAGACATCTGACTTCCAAAACTATAAAATCATAAATTTATGTTGTTTTAACCTACTAAGTGTATGGTAACTTGTTATAGTTAGAAATCAAAAACTAACATAATTTCTATCTTTTGTATTCAAAAGATAAACACTTAAGATAGATCCCTAAAAATTATGAAACCAATATTTTAGGTTCCCTGACATTTGTGGTATAGAAAGACATCAATGAACAATTTGTATTTGTTGTTCCTTTTCTTAAATGTCATTACACCATATGTATTAACACCTTTCAGTTAAGAGAATGATATTTTATATCTTCCTCACTGCTGACTTATTTGACAATGCTATTCTTAATGTGTTTATAATTTCTGAAGATATTAAAGTATAACCACATCCTGTTTATGTGGCACTGTAGAGAAATTGGCCTTCCAAATTAGTGGATTTTCTAAATAAACTCAATCACTTTTGGGTGGTGTGTGTGAGCATGCTTGTGTGATTAAATTATAATATTAAAATTTTTCTCACTTTTATACTTTTTGAAGCAGATAAATTAGTGTATGTAACAACATTTTTTATGAATATGAGTCATTATTCTGAACATAAATTATATGCCATGCTAAAATACTCCCACATGTTGTTATTTTCAGGCTCTATTAAAAGACATAGAGTAATTCATGTCTTTTCAAAATAGTTGTAACTAGTTAATATATTATTCTGAGCACATTTTCTAACAATTATTCTATCAGAAAAAGGTATAACAGAGTGGACGAGAAACAAGAACAAAGGCACTAAGATAATTAAATTGAGTGTAGCAGTAAATTGAACACGCAAGAATTATTGCATGAACAAAGTTAGTGACCATGAAAATGGAGAGCAAATGATTGATTTAAGACATGGAAAGAAAATATTGAAAAGAATTTGAAGCTTCATTGGGAGTAACAGAAAATGATACATTGAGGATAACTTATACAATTCATCTCTGAGTAACATTGTGGATGTTGGTAACCACCGTAATATGGAATATGAAAAGAGGAGCAAATTTTTATGAAAGTATGAAGGTTTCATAAAGGGATATTCTGAATTTGAGACGCCAGAGAGACAACCAACTAAAGATTCACTACAGAAGTTGGATATTTGGAGCTAAGTGTAATAAACAATATGTTTAGATTAACATGATAAATGATAAGGCATTGGTGTAAATTAAACTATAGTATAAGAAGAAGGCTAAGAATAAAGTTACGGGGCACAAAACATCTAATTTTGGGTTTAGAAGAGCTTAAGAGTTAAAATCTATAAATGATATGTATTATTCCATTTCCACACTGATATAAAGAACTACCTAAGACTGGCCAATTTACAAAGAAACCAGGCTTAATTGGCTCACAGTTCCATGGGCTTAACAGGAAGCCTAACTGGAAGGCCTCAGGAAACTTACTATCATGGTGGAAAGCAAAGGGGAAGCAGGCACATTCTCACATGACAGAGCAGGTGAGAGAGAGAGCAAAGAGGGAAGTGCCAGACACTTTTAAACCATCTGATCTCATGAGAACTCACTCAATATCACAAGAACAGTCAGGGGGAATTCTGCCCTCATGATCCAGTCTCCTCCCATCTGATCCCTCCTCTAATTTGATATGAGATTTGGGTGGGGACACAAACCTAAACCATATTATTCCATCCCAGCCTTTTCCAAATCCCATGTCCTTCTAGCATTGCAGAATACAATTATCCCTTTTTAGCAGTCCCCCAGTCTTAACTCATTTCAGCATTGACTCAAAAGTCCACAGTCCAAAGTCTCATCTAAGACAAGGTAAGTCCCTTCCAACTATGAGCCTGTAAAATCAAGAACAAGTTAATTATGTCTGACACAATGTGAGTACAAGGATCTTGTAAATGCTTCCATTCCAAGATAGAGAAATCAACCAAAACAAAGAAGCTACAGGCTCCATGCAAGTTTGAAACTCAGCAGGGCAGTCATTAAATCTTAAAGTTTCAAGATGATATTCTTTGACTCCAGGTATCATATCCAGGCCATGATGATGCAAGAGGTGGGCTCCCAAGATGTTGGGCATCTCTGCCCCTTTGGCTCTGCAAGGTACAGTCCCCAAGGCTGCTTTCCTGAGCTGGCATTGAGTGTCTGCAGATTTTCCAGGTGAACAGTGCAAGCTGTTGGTGGATGTACAATTCTGGGTTCTGGAGAATGATGGCCCTATCCTCAGAGATCCACTAGGCAATGCCCAAGTGGGGACTCTGTGTAGGGGCTCCCACTCCACATCTCCCCTCTGCACTGCCCTAGTAGAGGTTCTCTATGAGGGCCCTTTCTCTACAGCAGACTTCTGTCTGGACAGTCAGGTGTTTCCTTACATCTTCTGAAATCTAGGCAGACATTCCCAAGCCTCAACTTGACTTCTGCACACCCAAAGGCCCAACACCATGTGGAAACCACCAACACTTGGGGCTTGCACTCTCTGAAACAATGGTACAAACTGTATCTTGGCCCCTTTTAGCCACAGCTGGAGCTGGAATGGCTGGGATGCAGGATACCATGTCCTGAGGCTGCATAGAGCAACTGGGCCCTGGCCCTGGCTCACAAAATTATTTTTTCCTGGCCGGGCGCGGTGGTTCACGCCTGTAATCCCAGCACTTTGGGAGGCCGAGGCGGGTGGATCACGAGGTCAGGAGATCGAGACCATCCTGGCTAACGTGGTGAAACCCCGTCTCTACTAAAAATACAAAAAAATTAGCCGGGCGTGGTGGCAGGCGCCTGTAGTCCCGGCTACTCGGGAGGCTGAGGCAGGAGAATGGCGTGAACCCGGGAGGCGGAGCTTGCAGTGAGCCGAGATCGCGCCACTGCACTCCAGCCTGGGCGACAGAGCGAGACTCCGTCTCAAAAAAAAATAAAATAAAAAAAAATAAAAAAATAAATAAATAAAATTATTTTTTCCTCCTAGGCCTCCATGCTTGTGATGGGACAACCTATCATGAAGGTCTCTGAAATTCCCTGGAGACATTCTTCCCCACTGTCTTAGCTATTAACATTCCACTCCTGTTTACTTATGCAAATTTCTGCAGCTGGCTTGAATTTCTCTCCACCAAATTTTTTTTTTTTTTCTTTTTTACCACATGGTCAGGCTGCAAATTTTCCAATCTTTTATGCTCTACTTTCCTTTTCAATATTAGTTCTAGTTTCAGACAATCTGTTTTTTCATACATACAAGCATACACCTTCAGAAATAGCCAGGTCACATCTTGAATGCTTTGCTGATTAGAAATTTCTTCCACACGATACCTTAAATCATCTCACTGAAGTTCAAAATTCCACAGATCTCTAGAGCAGGGGCAGATCTCTAGAGCCAGTCTCTTTGCTAAAGCATAGCAATTGTGACCTTTACTTCAGTTCCCAGTAAGTTTGTCATCACCATCTGAGACCACCTCAGCCCAGACATCATTGTTAATATTACTGTCACTATTCTGGTCAAAATCATTCAACAAGTTTCTAGGAAGTTCCAAATTTTCCCACATATTCCTGTCTTCTTCTTATCCCTCCAAATTGTTCCAACCTCTCCTGTTACCCAGTTCCAAAGTCACTTCCACATTTTCAGGTATCTTTAAAGCAGTACCCCACTTTTGGTACAATTTTTCTGTATCAGTCTGTTCTCATACTCCTATAAAGAACTACCTGAAACTGAGTAATTTATGAAGAAAATAGGTTTAATTGTCTCTGTTCTGTAGGCTTAATAGAAAGCATGACAGCATGACTGGGAGGCCTCAGAAAACTTATATTCATGGTAGAATGTAAAGGAGAAGCAAGCACATCTATCCATGGCAGAGCAAGAGAGAGAGAGAGTGAAGGGGGAAGTGCCACACACTTTTAAATCATTAAATCTCATGAGAACTCACTCATTATCACAAGAGCAGCAAGGGGGAAATCCACCCCCATGATTCAGTCACCTGTCACCAGGACCCTCCTCCAATTTGACATGAGATTTGCTTGGGGACACAAATCCAAACGATGCCAGGGTCTGAGATTTTATTCTACCTAACAAGCTAACAAAGTCAGCCAGTTTTATGAATGCTCTCAGAATCTGTGACACTTCTGATACAGAGGCACAGAACTATATTGCTCATGACAATAGCTATAGCCAGAGCATGAGCATTGGCATCAGTTATCCCACCCCTAGTTCTCATATAGCCATATGACATTTGCCAGATGATACTTGCACATATAGTGGGTTCATTATGGGAGAACAATTGTGAGTTTAGGAGACCTCAGTATTGTACTATGACCCATAAGCATGTCCGTCTAATGCTCTTAAGGGAGAACATATATCTTCCAATGCTTTAAGAAAAGATACTCTTTGCTCCAAAGGGAAACACTATATCTTCAAAGGTTTTTACCACACATTTTTTGAAAGGTAGAATGGAACAAAGGCAGTAATTCCTGTACTCATAAGATAGACAGAAACATGTGATACCCATAGGACATAATCTCCCAACAAAGAGAAATACTATCAAGGAATGATCATCAAGATTGAAAAAAACAGGAGGGAAGAAAAATATGGAAAATGAAGTGGAAAGAGTCTTCTGAGAGTGAGTTAACAGCAGTAAATCTTGACAGAAATTTCAAGTAGAATGTGAATTATAAACAATCTATCTATTTTGCACCCAGAAGTAGAATTGTTAGATCATAGATTATTCATATGTTGAGCTTTAAAATATATTGCCAAATGACTTTCCAAAATGTATATAAACAATTTATACTCCTACCAGCATAAAAGACAATTAGAGAAAATCTATACCTTTGCCAACATTTATCATTATTTTTATTTCTAGCCATTCTTTGTTGTTTGTGGTTATATGTCACTGTGGCTTTTATACACATTTTCATGATCACTAATGGAGTTGAGCACTTTTTGATAGGTTTATTGGTCATTTGAATAACCACTTTTAAAAGTCTCTATTTAAATGGTTTTTGTCCCTTTTTCTATCGGATTTTCCTCTGGCATTTTAAAGATTTTTATTAGTTCTGGAAATAAATTTTATATTGAATATATTTAATTATAATATAAACTACTACTCTATACATTTTATATTTTAAGGGCATGTAAAAGGGAGAGAAACTCTTGATTTTAATGTATTACATCAATTGTTCCATTTTGGTTAACAGTTTATGTACTGTTTAAGTAATCTTTGCTGTCTCAAATGTATGAAGAAATACTTCTATATTTTTGTTTTAGAATACTTTTTATTTTAAATTTAGTTATATGATCTAGTTGGAATTTTTCTGTATGGTGAAATGTAGGAAAACATTTTGGTTTTATCTATATGAATATTTTTATAGTTTATCTTAATTCAAAGACATTGCTATATTATTTACATTTCAATTTGTCACACAAATATTTCTAATTTCTTATGTTCATATTCATGTTGTCTACAAATAATGAGCTTTATTTTTTCATAGTACACTGGATAAGATATCCAGTATAGGTTTGAATTGAGAGAATAATGGGCATTTTTATGTCATTTTTAATCATGAGAGGGGAAATAGGGAAATGTCGTATTTTACTAATTAAATTTTATATTTGCTGTAGATTTTAAATATATACCATTTGTCAGATAAAAGAAATTCCTTATATTCCTTGCTTACCATAGTTTTTTTTTTACATTGATGATGGTGAAATTTTCTCAAATCCTTATTCTGCATTGCATCTATGAAGATGACTTACTACTTTATTATCTTAATGTGATAAAAGAAGGTAATTGTTGTTAAAATGTGGTCTGCCCTGCATGAGAAAATAATACCAACTTGTTAATGATGTATTGTACCTTTAAAAAATCACTGGATTCTATTTGTTATTTTTTAGAATTATTGAATTTATGTTTATGAACGTGATTACCCCTAAGTTTCCTTTCCTGTTATTTGTTATTCACAAAATTACAGTGACCCCATTACTCTCTATATCCAACCTCTCTCTCTTTCCTTCTCCCCTTTTTTGTTTCTCCAAGAAAGTTGTGTACAATTAGTGTCACATTTTATTAAAAGTTTGGAAAAATTCAGAAGTGAATACATCTGGCACTAAAGATATTTTGTGGGGAAACATTTATTTGCCAATTTACTGACTTTAATAGATACAGTGCTATTTATATATTTTTATTTTATCTTGTGTCAATTCTGATAATTTGTGTTTTTCTAGGAATTATTCAATTTTATGCAAAATTTTATTTGTACTTTAAAATTTTTCATTATGCTATTTAAAAAGCTTTATAAAATTTGTAAAACATCTTGTGATAGCACCTTTTTATCCCTGGTATTTCAAATTTGTGTCTTTAATTATTTATGTATTTTAATTTTGCTCAATTTGGTTAAATGTCTATCAAATGTTAATCTTTCAAAAAATCCACTTTTGGCTTTGTTAATAAACTAACTTCTATTGTTTATTTTGTATTTAATAAATACTCTTTTTATTTTCTAACTTCTACATTTTTGGTATACAATAAGATGTCCTTTTACTCACTTCTTGATATAAATATTTGGTTATTGATTTTTGACTTACCATCTTTTCTTATTTATAAATTTTTGAATATATATTTTCTTCTCTGCACAGACTTGCTGCATTCCACAAGTTTTGTTATGCTGTATGATCATTAGTTTACAAATCAAAATGTTTTAATTTTCATTATGATTTCTAATTTGATAAATTGCTTTGATGTATTTTGTTAAATTTCTAAATAGTTGAACTTTTTTTATTGCATTATTAATTTTTAGGCTTAATTCCACTGTAGCCATAAAATATACCTTGAATGATTTCAATGCTTTAAAATTTCTTTAGATATTTTTAATAGCCTTACATGTGGTCAGTTTGGGTAGAAGTATAACGTACATTTGAAAATATCAGTTATTAAACAGTTATTTACAACTATTTCAATTTGCAAATTGGGTCACTTTTGTAAATTCTGTTAATTGAATCATCTGGAGATGAAATGTTTTTATTATTTTCTTGTTTTATCAGTTACTGAGTGTGCTGTTTTAAAATTTCCCACCGTGATGATGGATTTATCTATTTTCATTTTGATTCTATAAAATATGGCTGTATATTTGGAAACTCTGTTATTTGGGAGATACATGTTAAAACTGTTACATTTTTTCCAGTGGATTGACCCTCTTGATTGAATGGCAAATTAAAAAATAATAGCAATATAAGCAAAGATGTAAAGCAACTGAAACTCTAATGTATGAACAGTGGATGTATGCATTTACATAACCACTTTGGAAAACTGTTCATCATTATCTACCAAATTAAAATGCATGCATAGCCAATGACCATTCTATTTTATTTTTATGTATATACCCCAAAAAGATTTATGATTATACAAACTAACATATATGTTAAAGAACATTCATTGCAAAACTATGCAGCTCAAACTGTAAACATTCCAAACGTCCAACAGTAAAATTTATACATAAATTTTGGTATATTTATTTCATGGAAAAATATACAGAAAGTATAATAAATAATTACATGTAACAATATAAATGAATGAAAAGGACATAAATGAATGAAAAGAATTGTGATCAATTCTTTTGATCACAATGATCAAAAGAAGCTAGACACAAATAATACATACTTACATTTCCATTGATATAAAGCTCAAAAGCTTTTAAAAAAGACAAAACTATGCTATAATTTTAGAAGCCAGTATACTAGCTACCTTTGTAGAAGAGGGAAGATATTTTGGTTCTGAAGAAGGCTGAAGGGCTATTTTGGATGTTGGTAGCAACCTATTTTTTTTATGTTTATTACATAGATGTGCTTTACTGTGATAATTCATTGATGTGATATTTTTATGTATTTTTCTATGTGTATGCTATACTTTAACAAATTGCTAAAAATGCATTTTAAGAATGCTAGTTATATTTCTAGTGCAATTTATTTACAGTGAAGAAAATGTCTGAGATATATGACATATGATCTTCCTCAGAAAAAAATGTTTTAACAACAAACACCAATTTCATTTTGTCTTCTCTTTCCCATGTGCGTGATGTATTCCCTTGCTAAACTTATTCAAGACTTTCTTGCTGCTATTGAAATAAAGACAGATATATTTAACTTGGCCTTTAAATTCTTGTATGATTTTAACCCTGTTTGTCATTTCAGCCTCATTTTATGTTATCTTCAATCTTCATCCAAAGCCCCATGTGACCTGAGATTGGACCTGTTGTTGCTCAACATTGGATAACTATAATTTCCTGTATATGGTAGGTAGAGTGTAATATAAAGATTAACTGAATAAATAATTCAACAAACTGACACAGAAAATAACTAGAAAAAATAATAAATTATTAATTATTTCTAGTTTATTCTTGCTTTCAGAGAAAGGAAATATTGATATAATGAAGAAATTCAGTTCATAGCTTGTATAAACATTAATGTTAAGAAACCAAATTTAAACGAAAAATAAAATTTTAAGCCCCCCAGCCAAGCATCTAAATGGACCACATCTTTTGGCCAAGAGCATTCCAAAATTAACGAGAAAAACTAGCTCAGACCATGATGGGAAAGAACCAAGGATACCTCATTATACCCTCCTCCCTTTTGGAATTACTAATAGAATAAACTCTTTAAGTCTGATAAGAAACATTTACAATCTATTCTGTCTGAAACCTGCTACCTAGAGGCTTCATGTGCATGATAAATCCTTGGTCTCCACAACCTGTTTTTTGTAACCTGGACATTTCTTTCTATTGACAATAACTCTTTCAATCAATTGTCAATCAGAAAATCTTTAAATCTACCTATGACCTGGAAGTCCCCAATTCGAGCCATCCCACCTTTCTGGACCAAACCAATGTACATTTTACATGTATTGATTAATGCCTTATGTCTCCCTAAAATGTATAAAATCAAGTTGTACCCTGACCAATTGGTCACATAATCTCAGGATCTCCTGAGGGCTGTGTCACAGTCCATTTGTCCCTTATATTGGACTCAGAATAAATCTCTTCAAATATTTTACAGTTTGACTATTTTTGTACACACAAACAAAAAATAGGCTAAATCTTAATATATCTTCTTGTCTATGCTCAGGCAGTTTATATCTAAACACCTTAAATGAATAGGTTACTGGTATTTTAAGATTTAAAAGAAAAGTACAAGATTTTTATTTCATATGACACAAATAAAATACCATTTTCACTCATCTAACATGTGGATTGACAGATTGCAGATATCATCCATTACCTGAATATTACAGATACTAAATTTGGAAAATAAGGGCTCAACCTAGTCATTTCTCAGAAAATTTCTTCCCAATACTGGTGAGTTATGAAATCTGTTATGTTTCAACTCTTAGGGTTATTATTTTCTAATAGTGCATCTATGTTCTAGAAAGGCAGTGTTATGCAATACAAAAGAAGCAATCTTTAATGTAGAAGACTGATTACGTTTAAGTGACATATCTGCCACCATAAAATCACAATCAAGTCACTTAACTTTTCTGTATACTTTTTCTGTATTTTTTCTGTAACATTGTTTGGTAGGAAAATCAGGGGTCATTATAACTCTGCCAACTGCATAGAATTAATTTGAGGGAATCAACTGTAGTAATAAATGTGCTTTGAAAATTATATATTGGTATAAATTTAAAATATAACTAAATAATAGTCTCATTATAAGTAAGAACTACATAAAACAAATAAGATTCATCTTTGTTGAGGCTTATATCCTCTATTTGCTTAATATACATTATTTCATTTAATACATGGCAACAGTTTTAAGCATTAATTATTTAACATTACCAACTTATAGATCAAGGAGCAAATTCATGTACAGGTTAAATCATTTTTCTAGGGTTACATAGTGGTGTAGCTGGTCTTTCTTGTGCCATACTTCATGCTTCATCAATAGTATCATAGAAAATCATGTTGTCTCCCAGAAAGTATAATACAGCCCATTGAAAAAAATCTCACGTAATTGTAAACATTTTTAGTCATTTTATCCAATATTTTGAGCAACATCCCAAATACAAATCATTTTACTATAATGTGAATCAGGTATGCCATTTCACAATTTTAAGTATAGGAAATTGTTTATCCTATAAACCAAAAAGCAACTGAGACAATTTAGAAGTTTATTTCACCAAAGTCAAGGACAATGCCAAGGAGAAAAAAATAAAATAAAATAACAGAAACAGCCTATGATCTGTGTCTTTCTTCAGAGATTACTTTGAGAAATTCAATATTTATAGGGAAAAGCGGGCTGGAGGGAATAGAGGAAGGGTTTGGTAATCCACATGTTGCAATAGAAAAGAAGCAGGTAGGGGAATAGCCAATTGTGTACTTGTCTCATGCTCGGTAAATCAAATTTGCACTTTATATAACATAATGTGAATATAGAATAGCCACCTGTGGAGATATTTAACCTTTTATCTGTAGGTATCTGTTTAGGAACAAAAGGAAAGGCCAGTTCTTACATGACTCTTCTTACAGCTTTTTTTCTCTTGTCATAGTTAATTGGGGTCTCGGTTTTTTATTTTCCTTTCACAATCTTAAAGTCAATTGCTCTCGAACATGTGAAATAACATTTTTCTTCAAAAGTCTAATTCCTGGATAAATGTACTTCTAGGAGGGCCAAGAAGTATTGAGGTCATGCATCACTGTATTTCTTCCTATGTTACCTAAGCCAAGATTGCCCTGGTTACCTAGGGCGCCCAGTGCATGTTTAACAATGCAGGAATAGGTGGTGGTACAAAATAGAATTCCACTAACTGGCCAAAACAAATAGCCAATATTATTTTTTTTAAGGGCACACTTTCTTTTCATTTGGTAACATGTCATTAAAAAAATACTAGTCCCCAGCCAGGCGCGGTGGCTGACGCCTGTAACCTCAGTACTTTGGGAGGCCGAGGCGGGCAGATCACGAGGTCAGGAGATCGAGACCATCCTGGCTAACACGGTGAAACCCCGTCTCTACTAAAAATACAAAAAAATTATCCAGGCGTGGTGGTGGGTGCCTGTAGTCCCAGCTACTCGGGAAGCTGAGTCAGGAGAATGGCGCGAACCCAGGAGGCAGAGCTTGCAGTGAGCCGAGATAGCACCACTGCACTCCAGCCTGGGCGACAGAGCGAAATTTTGTCTCAAAAAAAAAACAAAAAACAAAAAAAACCAAACTAGTCCCCAATGTTTTTTCATACTATCTGATCTTATGCCATTAACAGAAATGCTGGTAGCCCTGCTATTTTTTCATATATTTATAGATAGTATTTCACCTGAACTTATATTTTATCTAGCTGTCACCAAATTTCTCAGAGTGTATGCAATATTAATCTTTTTAGTAATAAAATTTTATTTATAAATAATGCATTGTTAATATTAAAAAAAAAACTGTAGGATCTACAGGTACAGCTGAGCAGAGATCTAGCTTCTATATTATTACAAATAATAACAGATAGCCAGTGCTTTTAAGCAGTGTGTGGTAGAGGGAGGTATAATGCATATATGATCATTTTGGGTTCCAGTTCTTTCTTTTTCTTGAAGAATTGGTCCACTTGTTTTGTTCTGATAATTGCTGTGGGAGTTTGGGTAACTTTAGGCACATGGAATGTTTGAGATGTGAAAGCCAAGGGGAATTAAAGGATGATTGTTAGTTAATGGCAATGCAAATGATGCATGACTCATCCAGTTAAAGCTCAGTTGAACTCATCTCTCTTACATTAAGCACATGTATTATTTCCTGATTTTTTAAAATCAAAAAGCGCACATTTCACATAGAAGTTCTAGAAAAATTATTTGGAAGTGATTGGTAAATATGCATTTTAATCAGACAAACAAAGCATAGTTTCTGGGCCATCTGCCATAAATATTTTTGTATTTTAATTTTATATTGCTAACTACAAAATGTTTACTAAAACCTTACCTGTAATATTCAGTTAGTTAAAATAAAAGTACATATTGATTTTATTTTTAAACTCTATCTTTGGAGACACAGTCCTAAGTTGATTAATTAGTTGCATGACTGACAAACTCAGAAATATTATAATAAATGCCATTCTATAAATAAGGCTTCAAGTTGTTGTTAGGTTTTAATGATTTGTTCCAAAAGGAGCAAAAGCCCTGCTAGTCTTTTTCATTAAAAAAATATATATATTTTGCAATGTTTGATGCATTTATTAAATGGTAAAATTATTATCTATAAAGATGGCTCCTTATATGGTTTTTAAATCCTGTACAATTGAAAAATAACCTTTGGAGTACTTAATTTCAATTTAGATATTAAATTAAAAACAACAGTTTATTATCAGTGTAATACTTTCTGAAAGTATTCAAACTGCGAAAGTTATTTTGTGTTCAGGAATTGCGCCATTCTTCTTTTAAAATACCACCTAAATCTACGGACATCAAGATAAAATGTTAAAAATCCAAAATATCTTACCGATGATAAATGTTCTCTAATATAAATAAAATTACATTTTTTCCTGAAATAATATATAGAATTTTCAAACCAAATAAAAAATTTGTTATAACTTTTCTAATAATGTTTATTTTTAATTTCTTCAATACTAGATTTATAGTGCATATTTCTTGATGCTATTTTTCCATGTAATCTATTTCAATTTTCTATTTATTATTATTATTTTATTAATATTTAACTATTGGTATTGTTTTACAGTAATCTATGAAAAGTTTAGAATTACCATCAATATTTAAAGCATTCAAATCTCAGTACCACGAGTCACAAGCCATCTTAACGGGGAAATTAACTACGATCATTCAGCTTTCCTAAATTACTATTGGCACTCATATAATAAATATTTAAAGTTTATGTATAAAATTTTAGTGTCTAAAGAGACCTTAGCCATCATCTCTATAGTTTTTCCTCTAGATAAGGATAGAGATTGTATACTATTCAACTTGGCTTCTTTTCACATGTATCTTTGAATGACTAACAATACATACAAAACACTCAATAAACATTTGATAAATTAGCTAGGGCACAATGCTTAAATAATTTAGCTGGCTTTTCCAAAGTCACACAAATACTTAATGTCTGTATTAATTTTCTATCGCTGACATAAAAAAATAAATGTACCAGCTTAAAACAAGAGAAATATATTATCTCACAGCTTCTTTAGATCAGAAGTCTGGGTGTACTAAACTAGGACATCTGCATAGGATCTCAGGAGGCTGAAATCATGTTTGTAGTGCTGTGTTCTTCCCGGAGAATCTGGAGGAAAATATACTTTTGAGCTCATGTTGTCTGCTGGACGAATACAGTTCCTTGGGAATTATATGCCTAAAGCCCCATTTCCTTGTTGGTTATCAGATGGGATCAATCTGTGCTTCAAAAGGCTCTTACATTTCTTCTCATGCTTTCCATAGGGCTCCCTCCAGCAATGGTGACTCAGGTTCTTCACATGCTTTTAAACTTTCTGGCTTCTCTTTCTGCTGTATCTCAGACTCAAAAAAAAAAAATTCCTTGTTTTTGGATAACCAGGATAATTTCTCTACATTAATTACATCTGCAAATTATCTGTTCCATGTAGTATAAAACATTTACATATTCCAAAAATGAGGACACTAACATCATTGCAGGGGTATTCTACTTACCACAATGTCAAAGTCTTGCATATAATTCAGTACCTTTCTTGCTGTCTTTCTACAAAAATTTGGCTGTAATTCCTTTAAAAAAAGAAATATGAACAGGACAGGACAATAATCTGTGATCAAGAAACTCATCTGTAATTTGCACTTCAGGATTTTCTGTATTATTCTTGCAACTTCTGATTAATTCATAGTTATTTTCAAATACAAACTGCAAAAAGAAATACAAAGCACAAGGGAAATATGTATTTTTAGAATATGACTTTCTATAATACATGTTGTATTGATATAAGAAATGTGACCATTAAGGTAGAGTGATTATAAGTAGATATATTAAATAGTTGTTATATAAGTGGGAAAATATTCTAAAATCTTGAAATTCAAGAGACTACTTGTAACAAGAGAGCATAAGTTTTACCTAATCAGAAAGAAACTTATGACTGGCTGGGCATCGTGGCTCACACCTCTAATTTTAGCACTTTGGAAGGCTGAGGTGGGTTGATCACTTGAGGCCAGGAGTTCAAGACCAGCCTACCCAACATGGCGAAACCTCGTCTCTACTAAAAACAAAAAAAGTAGCCAGGTGTGGTGGCATGTGCTTGTAGTCCCAGTTACTCAGGAGGCTGAGGCACAAGAATCACTTGAACCTGGGAGGTGGAGTTTGCAGTGAGCTGAGATCTGCCACTGCACTCCAGCCTGGGTGACACTGCAAGACTCTGGCTCCAAAAAAAATAATAATAATAAGAAAAAACATACTTATGATACTAACACCAAATCTAGATTAGAAAGCAACTGAAGTGCAATTGTTCAGACCAAACACTGACATTATTCTGTGGTTAACTTATTTACTATGATGTTGTGGCTGCAGATATTGGAAGCCCAAAGCACTATTTGCATGTATTTAAACAAGTAGAATAGAAAAAATCATAAAGACCACAAATATGTAGAAGGGAATCTGATGATTGAAAAAACCCTAATTCCTTCTCATTAGAGGGTAATGTTTGGCTAAAGAAAAAAATTAGAAAAATTGCAGGAATATTGTCTCAATCTAAACAATAGGTTGTTGGAGAAAAAAGATATAGTTTATATTTATAAAACATAATATAACTATAATGTAAATAAAATGGACAAATTACTAGAAACACACAACCTACCAAAACTGAATCATGAACAAACAGAAAATTTGAACATATCTATAAGTAGAAAAGATATTGAATCATAACCAATACTCTGCCCAAAAGAAAAACTCAGCAACATATGATTTCACTGGTGTACTGATCCATTCTCTCACTACTATGAAGTACTACCTGAGACTGAGTAATTTTTAAAGAAAAGAGGTTTAATAGGCTCAGGGTTCTGTGGGCTGTATAGGTTTTTGCTCCTGGGAAGGCTCAAGAAACTTACAATCATGATGGAAGGTGAAAAGGGCACAGACACATCTTCACATAGCTGGCAGAAGAGAGAGCCAGCAAAGGGGGTAGGTGTTACCCACGTTCAAACAACCAGATCTTGTGAGAATTCTATCATGAGACAGCACTAGGAGGATGGTGCTAAACCATTAGAAACCACCCCCATGGTCCAATCACCTCCCACCAGGCCTTACCTCCAACACTGGAGAACACAATTTAACATAAGATTTGGGTGAGGACACAGAGCCATACCATATAATTCTACCCTTGACCCCTCCCAAATCTCATGTTCTCACATTGCAGAATACAATTATCCCTTCTGAACAGTCCCCCAGTCTTAACTCATTTCAGCATTGACTCAAAAGTCCACAGTCCAAAATCTCATCTGAGACAAGGTAATTCCCTTCCACCTATGAACCTGTAAAATCTAAAACAAGCTATTTACTTCCAAGATACAATGTGGTTACAGGCATTGGGTAAATACACCCATTCCATTAGGAAGAAATCAGCCAAAACAAAGGGCTACAGGCCCCATGAAGTCTGAAACCCAGGAGGACAGTCATTAAATCTTAAAGCTTCAAAATAATTTTCTTTTACTCCATGTCTCACATCCAGGCCACACTGATGCAAGGGTTGGCCCCCCTGGCCTTGGGTAGCTCCACCCCTGTTGCTCTGCAGGGTACAGTCCCCAAGGCTGATTTCACAGACTGCATTGAGTGCCTGCAGCTTTTCCAGGTGCATGGTGCAAGCTGTTGGTGGATGTATCATTCTGGGGTCTGGATGATGGTGGCCTTATCCTTACTAGGTAGTGCCCCAGTGGGGACCCCATGTGGGAACTTCACATTCACATTTCCCCTCTGCACTGACCTAGTAGAGGTTCTTCTCCATGTAGGCTCTGCCTCTGCAGCAGATTTCTGCCTGGACATCCAGGCATTTCCATACATTCTCTGAAATCTAGGCAGAGGCCCCCAAGCCTCAGCTCTTGCCCTCTTTCCACCCACAGGCTTAACACCACATGGAAATCTTGGCAGCTTCTGGCTTGTACCCTCTGGAGTAGCAGCCTGAGATGTATTTGGGACCCTTTTAGCCACAGCTAGAGTTTAAGTGGCTGGGACACAGGCAGCCTTATCCCAATGTTGCACAGAGCAGTGGAGCCCTGGGCCTGGCCCATGAAACCATTTTTCCCTCCTAAGCCTCCAGGCCTGTGATGGAAGGGGATGCTGTGAAGATCTCTGAAATAAATTGGAGGGATTTTCCCCATTGTGTTTGTTATTAACATTTGGCTCTTCTTTATTTAAGCAAGTTTTTGCAACGGGCTGCATTTTCTCCCCGAAAATGTTTTTTTTTTCTTTTCTTTTCTTTTCTACCACATGGCCAGGCTGCAAATTTTTCAAAATTTTATGTTCTTCCCTTTTAAATGTAAGTTCCAGTTTCAGGTATTTTTTTGTTTATTTATGCAAATGAGCATAGGATTTTAGAAACAGCTAGGCCACATCTTAAATGCTTTGCTGCTTAGAAATGTATTCTGCCAGCTATTCTAAATTATCTCCCTCAAGTTCAAAGTTCCACAGATCTCTAGAGCAGGGGCACAATGACACCAGACTCTTTGCTAAAGCATAGCAAGTGTGACCTTTACCCCAGTTTGCAGTGAGTTCCTCATCTTCATCTGAGACCTTCTCAGCCTGGACTTCAGCATTTTGGTCAAAACCATTCAACAAGTCTCAAAAAAGTTCTGAACTTTCTCTCATCTTCCTGTCTTTTTTTTCTGAGCCCTCCAAACGACTCCAACCTCTGCCCATTACCAAGTTTAATGGTCATTTCCACATTTTCAGGTATCTTTAGAGCAAAGCCCCACTTCTCTGATGATACCAATTTTCTGTAGTAGTTCTTTTTCACATTGTTATAATGAACTATCTGAGAGTGAGTCATTTATAAAGAAAAGAGGTTTAATCTGCTCATGGTTTTATGGGATATACAGACTTCTGCTTCTGGTAAGGCCTCAGGAAACTTACAATCATGGCAGAAGGTGAAGGGGAAGCAGGCACATATTCATATGTCCGGCAGAAGAGATAGAGAGCAAAGTGGGGAGGTGCTACACACTTTTCTTTCTTTTCTTTTTTTTTCTTTCTTTCTTTTTTTTTTTTTGAGACAAAGTCTCACTCTGTCGCCCAGGCTGGAATGCAGTGGCACGATCTTGGCTCACTGCAAGCTCTGCCTCTCTCCTGCCTCAGCCTCCTGAGTAGCTGGGACTACAGGGGCCTGCCACTATGCCCGACTAATTTTTTGGTATTTTTAGTAGAGATGGGGTTTTACTGTGTTAGCCAGGATGGTCTCGATCTCCTGACCTTGTGATCTGCCCGCCTCAGCCTCTCAAAGTGCTTGGATTATGGGCATGAGCCACTGCACCCAGCCAGGTGCTACACACTTTTCAAACCACTAGATCTTGTGAGAACTCTATCATGAGACAGGATTAGTGGGTTGTGCTAAATCATTGGAAACCATCCCCAGGAACCAATTATCTTCCACCAGGCCCCACCTCCAATACTGGAAATCACAATTCAACATGAGATTTGGGTGGGGACACAGAACCAAACCATTATCAACTGGCGGATTATACCAAACATTTAAAGAAGAAATAACACCAACGTTTCTGAAACTTAAAAAAAAAAAATGAAGTGGAGAGAACACTCCTTAACTAATTCTATGAGGCCAGTTACTCTGATACCAAAACTAGACAACAAAAGTACAAGTAAAGCAAGGTACAGCCAAATATTCCTGATTAATAGTGATGCAAACATTGTCAACAAAATAGTAGCAAAGAGAATTTGAGTATTTTAAAAGGATTATACACCATCAAAAATGTGGTTTTTATTCTGGAATGTAAGGAAAATTCACCCTATAAAAATCAATCAGGGTATTCCCAAGATGGCTGACTAGAAGCAGCTAGGGTGTGTGGCTTTCATGGAGAGAAATGGAAGGGGTGAGCAAATACGGTACCTTCAGCTGAAACATCCAGATGCTTACATTGGAACTACTCAAGGAAACAGCTCGACCCCTGAAGAATAGAGAATAGTAAGGCAGTTTGATGGCCCATCTGGGAACAATACAGTGCAAAGGGAACCTCCCCTACCCAGGGAAGTGGTGAGTGAATGTGCAACTTCAGAAAACCACACTCATCTCACAGATCTTTCCAACCATCAGGTTAAGAGATCCCCTGGTGAACCCACTTCAACAAGGCCTTCAGGCTGACACACAGAGCTACTTGGAGCCTTGGCAAAGCTGCCACTCAGGCACATATGGAGACATGGAAGCTTTGGATATTGTAGATTTCTGGGCTTCCCAGTAGAAGTAACTGTCACTCTGAAAAAGTGGGTGGTTAGAGCCCCATACATACCTCTAGGAAAGAGGCTGGAGCCAGGGTCCCAATCAGTGAAGGTCTGCAGGCCCCACTTCCACTGTGACTCACAGGATAAGACCCACTGGCTTGGTTTGATAGCCAGCCACCAGTAGCAATATTGTGCCTACCTTAGACAGAGTTCATGGTGGGGAGGAGTAGGCTGCCAGCTTTGCTGTTGGGGTACCTTGGACATTCCAGCCTGTGAGCTTTGGAGAGCCCAAGCCAACTGAGGCAGAAGAGGTACCCCAGCACAGCAGAGCTGCTCTACAAAAGCATGAATATATTGCTTCTTTAAGTGTGTTCTCAATCTTGTTCCTCCTCACTAAGGTGGAACCTCCCAACCAGAGCCTTGAGCCACACCCACCAGTGTTCTCCAGCTGAAGGGATTTGGAAACTTGCTGGGACAAAACTTCCAGAAGGAGGTGCAGGTTGCCATCTTTGCTGTTTGGATGACTCAGCAGTTCTGGCTTTCCAGCCTTGGAGAGTCCAAGCCTACAGGGGGTGGAAATGGTACCTCAACACAGCACAGTGGCCCCACAAAAACATGGCCATACTGCTTTTTAAGCAGGTCCCTGACCCCATTCCTCATCACTGAGTGGAGCCCCTGAACTAGGATCTGTGGCTACCCTCACCAGTGTTCTCTGGCTGACAGAAGATTTGGGCCTCCTTGGGATGCAGCTATCAAGAGGAGAGACAGGCCACCATCTTGGCTGTTTGGATGACTTATCCATTCTAGCCTTTGGGTTTCAGAGTGTCTGAGGCTGCCAGAGGTGGACATGAACCCCCAGAAGAGCACAGCTGCTCTACAAAAACATGATCAGACAACTTTTTTAATGAGGCCCATGATCTCATTCCTCCTGCCTGGGTGAGACCTCCCAAATGGGTTCTTCAGCCGTTTCCTACAGGTGCGTTTGGGCCAGCAAGAGGTCTGTACCTCCCTGGGACAGAGCTCCCAAAAAAAGGAGAAAACTGCCATATTTGCTGTTTTCTAGCTTTCACTGGTGTTACCTCCAGGTACTGGAAAAACTGGGACCCCAAGCATACTGCAGCAGCCTTATGGAAAGGTAGGCAGAATGTTATATATTTAAAAGAAGCAGCAACCTCAAAGATTGAAGGTAGATAAGCCCTAAATATGAGAAAGAATCAGTGCAAGATTGCTGAAAACTCAGAAAGCCAGTGTTCCTTTTACTGTAAATGACTGCGTCACCTCTATAGCAAAGATTCGAAACCAGGCTGAGGCTGAGAAGGCTGAAATGACAGAAATAGAATTCAGAATATATATAGGAATGAAGTTTACTGAGCTAAAGGAGTATGTTGTAACCCAATGCAAAGAAGTTAAGAATCATGATAAAACAATACAGGAGCTGACAGAGAAAACAGCCAGTATAGAAGAGAATATAACCAACCCAATAGAGCTGAACAACACACTACAAATAGTTCATAATGCAATCACAAGTATTAATAGAAGAATAGACCAAGTGGAGGAAAGAATCTTGTAGCTTGAAAATTGTCTTTCTGACACAAGACAGGAAGACAAGAATAGAGAAAAAAAGAATAAAAAGGAATGAACAAAATCTTCGAGAAACATGGAATTATGTAAAGAGAACAAATCTATGATCGTTTGGTGCACCTGAAAGAGACTAGAAGAATGGAAACAACTTGGAAAACATTTTTCATGACGTATCCATGAAAAATTCCCTAACCTAGCTAGAGAGGCCAACATTCAACTTTAGGAAATGCAGATAACCCCAGTAAGACACTCTATGAGAAGATCATCCCCAAGACAAATAGTCATCAGACTCTCCAAGTGTCAAATGAAATTAAAAAAATCTTAAAGACAGCTAGAGAGAAAGGACAGATTAACTACAAAGTAAAGGCCCATCAGACTAACAGCCGACCTCTCAGAAGAAACTTTACAAGCCAGAAGAGATTAGGGGCCAATATTCAACATTTTTAAGAAAAGAAATTCCAGCCCAGAATTTCATATCCAGCCAAACTAATCTTCATATGCAAAGAAGAAATAAGGTCCTTCACAGAGAAGCAAATGCTGAGAAAATATGTTACTCTCAGACTTGCAATAAAGCACTAAATATGGAAAGGAAAGAATATTACCAAGAACTACAAAAAACACACTGAACTACACAGACCAGTGACACTATAAAGCAACCATATAAAGAAGTCTGCAAAATAATCGGCTAACGTCATGATGAAATAATTAACAAAGAAACTACTAGGTAGACTGATAAATAGGAAAAGATATAGGATTCAAATAAACACAGTCAGAAATGACAAGAGGGATATTATCACTCACCCCAGAGCAATGCAAGCAACCATTGGAGAATATTATGAACATCTGCGTGCACACAAACTAGAAAATCTAGAATAAATGGATAAAGTAATGGAAACTTACACCCTCCAGAAATGAACCAGGGAGAATTTGAATCTCTGAACAGACCAATATGAGCTCTGAAATTGAGTCAGTAATAAATAGCCTATAAACCAAAAAGAGCCCAGAACCAGGTGAATTCACAGCTGATTTCTACCAGATGTACAAAGAAGAGTTGACACTATTCCTACAGAAGCTATTCCATGAAATTGAGTAGGAGAGACTTCTCCTCAATGAGGCCAGCATTATCCTGATGCCAAAATCTGGCAGAGATAACAAAAAAGAAAACATCAGACGAACATGCTTGAACATAAATGCAAAAATTCTCAACAAAATATTGACACACCGAATCCAGTAGCACGTCCAGAAGCTTATCCACCATGATCAAGGAGACTTCATATCTGGGATGCAAGGTTGGTTCAACATAAGCAAATCAATATATGTGATTAATTACATAAACAGTACTAAAAACAAAAAAGAAAGACACAATTATCTCAGTAGATGTAGAAAAGACTTTTGATAAAATTCAACATCCATTCATGTTAAAAATCTAAATAAAGGTATTGGAAAAACATCTCAAAATAATAAGAACCATCTATGACAAATCCACAGCCAACATTATTCTGAATGGGCAAAAGCTGGATGAATTCTTCTTAAAAACCAGCACAAGGAACGAATGCCCTCTTTCACCACTATTAGTAAACATAGCATTGGAAGTTCTAGCCAAAACAATTAGACAAGAGAAAGAAATAAAGGGCATCCAAAAAGGAAGAGAGAAAGTACAACTATCCCTGTTTGCAGATTACATGATCCTGTATCTAGAAAACCCCATATTCTCAGCTGGAAAGCTTCGTAAGCTGATAAGCAACTTCAGCAAAATCTCAGAATACAAAATCAATATGCGAAAGTTACTACCATTTCTATACTTCAACGACAGCCAAGAGCCAAATTAGAAACAAACTCCCATTCACAATTGCCAGAAAAAAATTAAAATATCTAAAAATACAGCTAGCTATGGAGGTGAAATATCTCCACAAATAGAACTACAAACCACTGCTCAAAAAAAGTCAGAGATGACACAAACAAATGCAAAAACATTCCATGCTCATGGATGGAAAAAATCAATATTTTTTAAATGGCCATACTACTCAAAGCAATTTATAGAGTCAATGCTATTCCTATTAAATCACCATTAACATTCTTCACAGAAACAAAGAAAACTATTTTAAAATTCATATAAAACCAAAAAGAGCCTCAATGGCCAAGGCAACTGTAAGTAAAAAGAAAAAAAGAAAAAAACAAGCTGGAGGCATCACTGTACCTGACTTGAAACTACTATATAGGGCTACAGTAACCCAAACAAATGGGACTGGTACAAAAACAGACAGATAGACCAATGGAACAGATTAGAGTACCTAGAAATAAGAAGAACATGAACCTACAACTAACTCATCATTGACAAACCAGACAAAAACAAGCAATGGGAAGAGCATTCCCTATGCAATAAATGGTGCTGGTATAACAGGCCAGACATATGCAGGAGATTGAAACTGAAACCCTTCTTTACACCATACAAAAAAATTACGTCAAGATGAATTAAAGACTTAAATGTAAAACCCAAAATTATAAAAACCCTGGAAGTCAACCTAGGCAATACCAGTTAGGACATAGGCATGGGCAAAGATTTTATGATGAAGAAGTCAAAAACAATGTCAACAAAAGCAAAAATGGACAAATTGGATCTAATTAAACTAAAGAGCCTATGCACAACATTAAAAAAACTATCAACAAAGTAAACAGACAACCTACAGAATGGGAGAAATTTTTGCAAACTATGCATCCAACAAAGGTCTGATATCCAGCATCTATAAGGAACTTAATGAATTTACAAGAAAAATACAAACAACCCTACAAAAAAGTGGGCAAAAAAACACGAACAGCACTTTTCAAAACAAGGCATATATGTTGACACCAATAATTTTTTAAAAGCTCAACATCACTGATTATTAGAGAAATGCAAATCCAAACCACAGTGAGATACCATCTAACACCAATCACAAAGAATATTATTCAAAAGTTAAAAAGTAACAGATGTGAAGGTTGTGAAGAAAAAGGAACACTTACACACTGTAGGTGGGAGTGTAAATTAGTTCAGCCATTGTGGAAGACAGTGTGGTCATTCCTCAAAGGCCTAAAGACAGGAATCCAAAATCCTTGGATTTTGACCCCAAAATCCCATTACTGGGTATATACCCAAAGGAATATAAATCTTTTTATTATAAAGAAACATGTATGCATATGTTTTATAAAGAAACATGTATGCATATGTTTTTTGCAGCACTATTCACAAGAGCAAAGACATGAAATCATCCTTACATAACCATAAATGATAGACTAGATAAAGAAAATATGGTACTTATACATCATAGAATACTCTGCAGCCATAAAAAGAATGAGATCTTGTCCTTTGCTGGGACACAGATGGAGTTGGAGGACATTATCCTTAGCAAACTAACACAGAAACAGAAAACCAAATACAGTATGTTCTTGCTAATAAGTGGGAGATAAATGATAAGAACACATGGACTCATAGAGGGAAACAGCACACACACTATTGTCTTCCAGAGGGTGGGAGAAGGGAGAGGATCAGGAAAAATAACTAATGGGCACTAGACTGAATACCTGGTTGATGAAATAAACTGTACAACAAACCTTATGACACAAGCTTTTGTATGTAAAAAAAAAAAACCCTGAGTTTGTAACACTAAACCTAAAATAAAAGCTAAAAATCAAAGGAAAACAGCACAGTAATGTAAAAAAAGAACAAATGGCACATGACCATCTCAATTGTTACAGACAAAGAAATTTTGAAAATTTAATACCTTCTCATGATAAAAACACTTAAAAATAGTAATAAAAGGAAACTACCTCAATATAATAAAGACCGTATGTGAAAAGCCCACAGTTAAAATCACACATAATGGTGAAAACCTGAATTCCTTCTAAGAGTAAGAAAAAGAGAAGAATGTCTGCTGTCTTAGTTTATTCTGTGCTGCCATAACAGAAGACACGAGAATGGGTAATTTATAAATAATAGAAATTTATTTTCTCACAGTTCAGAATGCTAGGAAGTCCAAAAAAGGAATGCCAACATCTGGTAAGAGCCTTCTTGCTGTGTCATCATATGGTGGAAGACATCACATGGCAGAACGAAAAAGAGAGAGACAGCCAGCGGGGATCAAACTTGGCCTTTTATAAGAAACTTACTTCCTTGATAATAAAGCCTCCTCCACAATAACAGAATTGACGCCTTCATGAGAGTGGTGCTCCCATGATTCAAACACCTCCAATTATGCCTCACCTCCCAACATCATCAAATTGGGGATCAAGTTTCCAACACATGAACTTTGGGGGACACAGTCAAACCATATCACCTGTTTTTGCACTTCTATTCAACATAGTACTGAAAGCCCTTACCAGGGCTTGCCAGAGCACTTAGGCAAGAAAAAAAAGGCATTCCTATGGGATAGAAAGAAGTAAAATTATCTTAAATAACAGAAGATATGATATGATCTAATATGTGATCTAATATGTGATCTAATGTGTAGAAATCCCTAAATATTTAACACACACACACACACACACACACACGTTAGAACAAATAAAAAGTCAAACAGTTTCAGAATACAAAGTCAACGCCCCCAAATCAGATGCATTTCTATGCACTAACAGCAAACAATCTGAAAAGGAAATTCTACTTACAATAATCTTTAAAAAGTATTAGAAATATGTTTAACCAGTGAGGTGAAATATTTGAGCACTGAAAACCATTAAATATTGCTGAAAGAAACGAATAAGACAGTAGTACATGGAAAGTTATCCAGTATTCGTGAATTGCTATACCTAGTATTATTAAGATGCTTATACTGCCCAAAGCGATCTACAGATTTAACGCAATTGCTATCAACATTCCAAAATTTTTTTGCATAAGTAGAAAAGTTTATACTCAAATTCATATGGAATCACAAGGGACACAAAAAGGCAGAAAAAAAAATCTATCTGATAGAGGAAACCAACGTCGTAGTACTCACACTTTCTTATGTCAAATTTTACTAAAAGGTTACGGAAATCAAAATACCTTGATACTGGGATGAAGAGTGACAAATTGTTGAATTGAATAAAATAGGGGCCCCCAAATGTGGTCTCACATGTGGTCAAATAATTTTCATCAAGGGTGCCAGTGCCATTCCTTGGTGAAATAGTATTTAACAAATTATATTGGGAAAGCTGAATATCCACATGCAAAACAATGAAGTTGGACCCTTATCTTACAGCCTACACAAAAATTAACTCAAATGAATAAAAGACCTAAATATGAGAACTATAACTATAAAACTTGTAGAAAGAGAAATAGGGGAAAATTTCCTTACCTTGCATTAGGCAATGTTTTCTTGTCTATGACACCAAGAGCACAGGCGGCAAAATAAAAAAACAGATAGATTGGACTGTATCAAAACTAAAATCTGTGCCTCAAAAGACAGAATCAGCAAAGTAAAAATGTGACCTGCACAATGGGAAAAGTATTTGCAAGTCGTATATCTGATAAGGCGTTACATTAGGCTGCACATGCTCTTATAAGAAAACACCATAGACTGGATACCTTAAACAACAGAAATTTATTTTTTCACACTTGGAGCTACAATTCCCAGATTAAGGATTGGAAAGATTATTTTATATTGAGGGCTCTCTTCCTGGCTTGCAGACAGCCAACTTTCTCTGTTTCTTCACATGATGGAAAGAGCAAGACAGCTGTCTTGTGTCTCATCGTACAGGAAAACTAATCCTGTCAGATCAGGGAACCACCCCATGACCTCATTTAACTTGTACATCCATATAGCCCTTATCTCCAAATATTGTCAAATTAGGAGTTATGACTTCAACATGTGGATTTGGCAGGGACACAATTAACTCCACAGCAGGGGATGATTCATATTCAGAACATATAAAGAACTCCTAAAACTCAATGACAAAAAAGACAACTTGATTAAAAAATGGGCCAAGGGTTTGAATACATATTTCTCCAAAACGGCTAAAAGCACCTGAAATAAATGCTCACCATCATGAATCGTTAGGGAAATGCAAATCAATATCACAATGAGATGAACATTATACCCATTAGGATCATAATTATAAAAAGAAAAATACAAAGTTACAAGTGGTAGAAAGGATGTAAATATACAGCGACTCTTCTGCAATGCTGGAGAAAGTGTAAGAGTGCAGTTACTGTGGAAATCGGCATGGTGGTTTCTCAAGAAATTAGAAATATAACTGTCATATCATATAACAGTTCCACTCGAGTACATACACAAAAGAATTGAAAGCAGGGACTTGAGATATCTGTACATGCATATTCATAGCACCATTACTCACAGTAGCCAAAAAGTGGAAGCAAACTCAATGTTCACTGACAGATGAATGGATAGGAAAAAAAAAAAATGTTGTATATGCACACAATGGAAAAAAGGAAGAAAATTGTGATACATGATATAACATGAATAACTTGAGAAAATTATTCTAAGTTAAATAAATCAGTCACAAAAGTACAAATATTGTATGATTTAATTTATATAAGGTACCTAGAGTAGCCAAATACATAAAGGCGGAAAATAGAGTGGTGATTTCCACAAACTGAGAAGGAGGAAAAGGATATTATAGGTTAATGGGTACAGACCTTCAATTTTGCAAAATGCAAAGAGTACTGCAGATGGATGGTGGTGATGTTTGCACAACAAGTTAAATGTATTTAATGTCATTAAAGTGTACAATTTTAAAAAGTTAAATTTAGTTATGATTATCTTAGCTTAATTTTAAAAATGATAAATAAATGTTCAAAGATAAAAAACTTTACACAGTTAATGTTATTTCCTAGTAACATTGAATGAAATAGATCGGGGTAGAATTAGTTAAATATATATAGAGAACTCACATTACCAGATTGTTTTTACCCAAAGGAGCCATCTGTTCTCAGACTCAAAAATTGTGTTATTGTTAGTTTCTAAGTAATTTTCATACATATATGAATTAAATGCAGAACTTACAAAGACAGGAGCTTATAGTGAACAACTAAATCAATTAAAATGACAGAAGGTACATATTAGGTAGTATTTTTACAAACCAGGGAAGCTATTGAAATAAGAAGATCCAGATGTTAGCAAAAATTGAAGCTTATTTTCTTCAGAAATCCTCAAATTATATCTGATAAGTAATGCTTCACCCAAATTATGACTTAATTTATAAATGTTATTATTTATTGCTTCTGTATTCTAAAAGAAAGTACACAACTTTGAAGAAAACCTGCTTTCCAGTGGCATTAGAATGACAGCTGTGTATGGTAAAGTTGCGGGAAATGCATATATTTACTTTCAATTTCACACACCAGACTCATTCTGGACAACTTTATCTTAAAAACCATAAAGGAAAACTCTGAAAGTTAGCTAATTTACTTTTATACTAACACTTTAGATAGAGTGAGAAAATAATAAAAATCATGAAAGACACAAGCACAGCCTATAAATTATTAAATTTATTCAGATTATTTGCATCTCTTTTTAAGTCATAACTTGGCAATCATTAAATGATGCTAAGTAGATTTGCTAAGTGTAATTTCAGTTTAAATAGTTCTAGAATAAAATATGGAAGTTTCAGCATAAAACAATTAGTGTTCTGCACTAAAATATAAAAGACTTACAATTACATGCTACTTAAGATCATGTCACATGAGAAGAAATTTGTCACTGCAATAGTAGTAACTATGATTGGATCAGAACTATACAGAAGCAACAGATGTATTGTGGGGTGTGTAAGAAAATCAAAGGCTTTGTAGCCCGACAAATTTGGCAACAAACTCCATCTCCATAATTTGGGCTAATCTTTCTAAATACAAGTTTTTTCTTGGGTATAGTTTTATTTATATTGATTTAAGAATAAGATTATTATTATAAATTATCTAACACAGTGGCTGGAATATAGGAAGTTCTTAATACATTTTAATGACCATTGTCATTTTTCGTTTAGTCACCATCATTTTAATGAGGGTTTGGCAAAGCCCAAGAGGGCTGCAGAAAGGACATGTTGAAATCTGACTAATTCTAATTATTTCTTGTGCTTTCCTAGTTTCTACTTCCTGTCCATTTTTGTATTTTAGACTTAGAATTTGTTCTGAGTGGATTGTCATAGCACAATCTCTCTCCTTCACTATTTAATTTTCAAAATAGCTTTGTCAATTTCATTCATTCTATGATACTCATAGATTATCAAATTTCTGCCTGGGACTGTACTAAATTTGGAAATATCGAGACATACAAGACTAGTATCCTGAGGCATTTCAATTTACTGAATAACATAGGCAAAACAATTAACTGTTTTAATACTATATCATAGTATACTCGATACTAGAGGGTCATAAAGAAAAAGCATAAATAAAATATATATTCCTCAATATTCTAGGGGAGGGTAAGTCAGAAAATGTTTCTGAGAGGAAATCTTGCTTGAGATGAGTTATGAAGGTTTAGTAACATTTAAGGAGCAGATAATGTTATTTGAAGCAGAAGACAGCAAACTTGGTTTAAAATAACAAGGCAAAGGAAAGCATGGCTCCTTAGAAAAAGTAAAATTATTACTACATCTGGAAAAAAAAAGGATTGATAGGGATTAAGACCAGAAAGTTAGACAATGGTTAGAAGAGAAAGAGGCTTTCCTCACTAGTGTAGAGCTTAATCTTTTTTCTGAAGTCAATGGGAAGCCACTGAGGCATTTTAAGTGGGCAAGTGGCATAATCAGATTTCTAATTCAGAAAAAATATCTGTTGTGGTAGTTTGGGAGGTGAGTTGAAAGGGTGAAAATAAAATCGGAAAGAACAGGAAATCATTGCAGTAGCACAGCTGAGGCATCATGAAGGCCTTAACTAAGTGAGTGACAATGGAAGGAAAGACTAGAAGACATATTGAAAAGATATTTAGGGGTATACTTGTTTGCATGTAATTACTAATTTAATGTGATAAGTGAGATAGCAAGTGAACTTCCAAGTGACTTAAATGGGTTTCTACTTAAGTGAATCAGATCAAAAATGTAATTATTGACTCATAGAAAGGATGTACTACAAAGAAGAAATACACTTGATTTATAAAGAGTTAATTTTGAAGTGATTTTTAGAAACATAGGTGATACTTTCTCATAGATAGTTGAATGTACAGATAAGAACTTAATTGTCTGAACTGCAGATACAAGTTTAAAGTGATCAGAATATTATATTTTAAATAATAGGTACGAATGAGATTCCCATAAAAACATATAGAATAGTAAACATAGCATAATACTAATACGAAAATTGAATAAGAATAGCAAATAGACATACACATAAACCCACATCAGAAAAAATGAAGAAAAATGATCAAGAGGCTAACATCTCTTAAGAATGAAGATGCAAAGTTCTCAATGTTAGTCAATGGAATCCAACAGCGTATTAAAATAATACAATGTCATTACCAAACACGGATTATTCTAAGAGAGAAAGGGTGCGTCACCATTAGAAAAACATATCAATGTAATTTACTATATTAAAATAATAAACAAGAAAATAATATAGTACTTACAGAAATCACAAAGCATTGGATTGATATGAAAACCCATTTATGAGTTGAAATAACAAAAACTCCTAGAAAGCCAGGAGTGAAAGGAACTACAATGGAGTCCTATTACCTATAAATGCATGAGTTACTTAGAACTTTCCAGAAAATGGGCAGTAACTTCCAGGTCATTGCCTTGGAAAGGAGTGGTGACTTCTCGGGCATTGCTATTGCATTTGTAAACTCTGATGGCACTGGTGGGAGTATCTTATGCTAATGAGCAATGAGGGCAACTAGGGATCACTTTCATCACCATCTGTTTGTTCCTGCTGGTTTCTTCACCTCATCCTGTCTGGACCAGATCCTGTTCAACCCTAGCAGGGTTGTGACCAGGAACCAAGTCCTGCCTGTCTCCTACCTCATTTCTCACTCAGAGATTAGATACTTCTCTTTAACCTTAAGGGGGCAGTAGAAGAGCAGGGGTCCATCTTCTGGAACTGCTTCTTGATGATTCTATAGGTATAGGCCCTGCCTAGCATTGGAGGAGTAAAAATCTCTGGTACCTAATCTGAGGGGTGCGATGGCAGGATATTTTCATTTTCCAGGTCAGATGATTGGTTGGGTTGGAAGCCTTGTGTCAGCATCACCTTTATGTGGAATGTAAACGATATAAACCTAGGAGGTTAAATAAGAAAACTACGATTACGAGGAAGAGAAAAATTAATGTTCCTAGGCCCACCCACAGCATATGAGGAAGAGAAAAATTAATATTCCTAAGCCCACCCACAGCATCATGTTATTTATCTATGTGTTCATGAAATAATAACTTTAAGTCTTTTTGGAGTTTATAAGTGTAAGCCACGGTACCTTACTCTTATGCCTATGAGGACTTATAAGAAACCAGTTTAATCTTGGACAGGTGTACCCAGCTAGTGATTCCATGAAATTTAATAGCAGAGAGGATACTTAACAATACCTGATAGTATGGCCCTCCCATTTTGCTTGTAATTGATTCTCAGGGAATTCTTCTTTTTAAGTTTTTAGTAAGACTAAATTTTTGAGGAGGAGACAATACTGTATTTCTATATTCTTGAAGGTCTTTGTGAACCTAGCCTACATTGTAAATGGGACATAGTGAGGCATGTCTGACCCCCTTTTTCCTGTTATGGCCCCGGGTAGTTTTCTTAAGTTTCTTTGGGATTCCCTTTGCCCAAGGGAATTAGAGTGAAAATATATATAGCCAATTTAACGTAACGTTCTAGGCCAGACAGGAATGGAAGTGGGCATGCACTCATTAGCCCATAAAATCTTTCTAAGTGATATAAGAATCAAAAACTAAAAGCCAAAAATAAGGTTATATGGCAGGTAAAACTGAGAGCATAGAATCAAACTATACTGTGGGAAAACACTGTTTCCACAGACATCTAAGACAAAACACTAGCATCAGGCCAGAGCAACAGAACTGGAGGGGAAAAAAGTTACAGGAGCTGATGAAAAAGCTAAAGGATAGAGTCATCATGCTATGCCTTTGAAAAGGGAGAAAAAGCTAAAAAGAAGTGAGACACAATAACAGTTAAATTGCTGAGACAGAAATCTAAGACATTTTTAAAGAAACCAGTTGTAGCATTAAAAACAAAATTTCCCACAATTTATCAAAGAAAACCCAGTTCCCATAGGTAGATCATTCTCTAGAAAGTCTACTGCAAACCATTTTTCTTCAATCATAGTTAGCTTAATCATGAACAAAATTCTTCTCACAAATTCCCCTTCATAAATCCCATATCATGACCCCCACAGATGATCTACAACATACTTGGGCTCCCTATGTGTCTTATTCTACCTTTTTCTTAAATAACCAGTCTTGTTACTCTAGGACAAGAATTTACTGTACAAAATCCCTCTTTATTAAAAAGTCACTCTTTCTTTATATCATTCCTTTGAAAAAAAATACATCTATCCATAACTTACTTCACACCTCTGTTTTCTACTCACTGATTTCTTTATATTTTGAAACTTCCTTTTAATAACTTCTTAATTTGATGAAAATACTCTTTTTCCAAATGAAAAAACACATCGTTTTTGGCACATATTATATAAAGCTAGGGAGCAAGAATCTGAACTGCGCATCAGGCGTTGTTCCATAGATTAAAACCATTTTACAATTATATGATTTAAACTGTAAAGAAGCTCACTATTTAAACTGATTTTAACAACTCTAAACCATACCAAAACATCAGTGGTTTACCTAGGTAAAAATCTTAGAGTTAAATTTTAGAAGACACGATATTCTTTTCAAACTAACAAGTTTAGACTTCTTATTTGTTTAATTGACCAGCACTCTTCTATTTCTAAGCCAATTTGATAGCATGCTAGATACAGCACACATCACACAAAGTAACCTATACTAGACAATTGGATCCAAGTTATTTATAAAATCGGGACCCATCTACCTGGCCAAATTTTGTCTGCCCCAGTAGGTATGAAAGACAGGAAGAGGCAGGGAAGATGATTACATAATATCACATAAGGAAGGGAGAGGGTAAACTTCATTGCTTAAGGGGAGACCCTGGGTTTCCCAAGCAACCGAAGAGCTCACCCAGCAGTGAAGACACTAAAGAAAAATGTTAAAGCGGCCATTTGTATGCCACTTTGAGGAGCTGTTCATCAGGTCAAAGATCCAAGTCTCCTAGTAAACTTACTTGAGCAAGGCAGCTCGTTGGGGCTAGTGGAAGGAAGTTAGCTCTAGTATTGATGGGAAGCTTTTTGCGCTCACTGGGGTTGTTTAGGAAATTCTAATTTCCAGTGGCCCTTTTGCTTATAGTATGCACACTGATTTTGGCCCAGGGGCTGGGATGTTGGGGGCTCTTCTCTGGGCATCCTAGATGCTGATCTCATGACATTTTCTTTCTCAAGATGGGTAATTCTGTGGTGGAAAGGGGCTAAAGAAACTATCAACAAATGCGCTTCTTGGCTGTCTCTCTTTTTCCTGCCTCTATGGTTGTAACTTTAAAGGCTACATTTAAGAGTTGTCTCACAAGGGGTTGAGGTCCAACTGCTGCTTTTTGTAGCTTTCTCCTAATGTCAGGGACAGATTGAGTAATAAAATGTATACATAGTAGAGCTTGCCATTCTTGAGAGTGTTGGTCTGAATTAGAATATTTTCTGAGTGCCTCAAAGAAATGACCCTGAAAAAGAGCAGGATTTTTGTCTTTTCCCTGAGTTATTTTTCTAACTTCATCATAATTGACTGGCTTAACCACACACATTTATTTTTTCGTTGTTGTTTTTATTTGTTTACTTTTTAATTTAATTTTAAGTTCTGGGATACATGTACAGGATGTGCAAATTTGTCACATAGGTAAACATATGCCATGGTGGTTTGCTGCACTTATCAACCCATCACCTAGGTATTAAGCCCAGCACACATTAGTTACTTTTTCTGAGGTTCTCCCTCCCCTGTCCCTCCCAACAACAGGCCCCAGTGTGTGTTGTTCCCCTCCCTGTGTCCATATGTTCTCATTATACAGCTCCCACTTATAAGTGAGAATATTCAGTGTTTGGTTTTCTGTTCCTGCATTAGTTTGCTGACGATAATGGCTTCCAGCTGCATCCATGTCTATGCAAAGGACATGATCTTGTTCCTTTTTGTGGCTACAGATTACTCCATGGTATATATGTACCACATTTACTTTATACAGTGTATAACTGTTGGGCATTTGGGTTGATTCCGTATCTTTGCTATTGTGATTAGTGCTGCAATGAACATATGTGTGCATGTATCTTTATAATGAAAAGATTTTTATTCCTTTGGGTATATACCCAGTAATGCAATTGCTAGTTCTAGGTCTTTGAGGAATCGCCATACTGTCTTCCACAATGGTTGAACTAATGTATATTGCCACTATCAGTGTAAAAGCATTCCCATTGCTCTACAGCCTCACCAGCATTTGTTGTTTCTTGACTCTTAATAATTGCCATTCTGACTGGTGTGAGATGGTATCTCATTGTGATTTTGATGTGCATTTCTCTAATGATCAATGATGTTTAGCTTTTTATCATATGTTTGTTGGCTACATGAATGTCTTCTTTTGGGAATTGTCTGTTCATGTCCTTTGCCTACTTTTTAAGGAGGTTGTTTGATTTTTCTTCTAAGTTTAAGTTCCTTGTAGAATCTGGATATTAGACTTTTGTCAGATAGATAGATTGTAAAAAATTTCTTCCATTCTGTAGGTTATCTGTTCACTCTGATGATAGTTTCTTTTGCTGTGCAAAAGCTCTTTAGCTCAGTTAGGTTCCATTTGTCAATTTTTACTTTTGTTGCTGTTTTGACATTTTGGTCATGAAATCTTTGCCTGTGCCAATGTCCTGAATAGTGTTGCCTGGATTTTCTTCCAGGGTTTTTATAGTTTTGGATTTTACACTTAAGTCTTTAATCCATCATGATTTATTTTTTGCATGAGGTGTAAGGAAGGGACCCAGTTTCCATTTTCTGCATATGGCTAGCCAGTTCTCCCAGCACATTTATTGAATAGGGAATCCTTTCCCCATTGCTTGCTTTTGTCAGGTTTGTGGGAGATCAGGTGGTTGTAGATGTGTGGTCTTATTTCTGAGTTCCCTATTCTTTTCCATTGGTCTTTGTTTCCATTTTTGTTCCAGTGCCATGCTGTTTGGGTTACTATAGCCTTGTAGTATAGTTTGAAGTCAGGTAGCATGATGCTTCTAGTTTTGTTCTTTTTTGCTTAGTATTGTCTTGGCTATAAGGGCTCTTTTTGTCTCCATAAGAATTTTAAAGTAGTTTTTTTCTGATTCTGTGAAGAATGCCAGTGGTAGTTTTTTGGGAATAGCATTGAATCTATAAATTACCTTGGGCAGTATGGCCATATTCATGATATTAATTTTTCCTATACATAAGCATGGAATGTTTTTCCATTTGTTTGTGTCCTCTCTGATTTCCTTAAGCAGTGGTTTTTAGTTCTCCTTGAAGAGATCCTTCACTTCCCTTATTAGCTGTATTCTAGGGTATTTTATTCTCTTTTTAGCAATTGTGAATTGGAGTTCATTCATGATTTGGCTCTCTGCTTGTCTGTTGTTGATGTAAAGGAATGGTTGTGATTTTTACACATTCCTTTTGTATCCTGAGACTTTGCTGAAGTTGTTTATCAGCTTAAGAAGTTTTTGGGTTGAGAGGATGGGGTTTTTTAGATATATGATCATGTCATCTCCAAATAGAGACAGTTTGACTTCCTCTCTATTTGAATACCCTTTTTTTCTTTCTGTTGCCTGACTGCCCTGTCCAGAACTTCCAATATTATGTTGAGTAAGAGTGGTGAGAGAGGGCATGCTTGTCTTTTGCTGGTTTTCAGCTTTTGCCCATTCAGTATGATATTGCCTGTGGGTTTGTCATAAATGGCTCTTATTATTTTGAGGTATGTTTTATCCATACCTTGTTTATTGAGAGTTTTTAACATGAAAGGATGTTGAATTTTATCAAAGACTTTTTCTGCATCTATTGAGATAATCATGTGGTTTTTGTCTTTAGTTCTGTTTGTGTAATGAATTACATTTATTGATTTGCGTATATTCAACAACCTTTACATCCCAGGGATGAAGCCGATTTGATCGTGGTGAATAAGCTTTCTGATACACTGCTGTATTTGGTTTGCCAGTATTTTATTGAAGATTTTTGCATTGATGTTCATCAGGGATATTGACCTGAAGTTTTCTTTTTTTGGTTGTATCTCTGCCAGGTTTTGGTATCAGGATAATTCTGACTTCATAGACTTCATAGAATGAGGTGGGGAGAAGTTCCTCCTTTTCAATATTTTGTAATCATTTTGAAATAAATGGCACCAGCTCCTCTTTGTACCTCTGGTATAATTCAGCTGTAAATCCATCTGGTCCTGGACTTTTCTGTTTGTTTGTTTGTTTGGTAGACTATTTATTACTGCCCCAATTTCAGAACTTGTTATTAGTCTATTCAGGGATTCAACTTCTTCCTGGTTCAGTTTTGGGAAGGAGTGTGTGTCCAGGAATTTACCAATTTCTTCTAGATTTTCTAGTTTATTTGCA
This sequence comes from Homo sapiens, assembly GCF_000001405.40. Taxonomy (NCBI): domain Eukaryota; kingdom Metazoa; phylum Chordata; class Mammalia; order Primates; family Hominidae; genus Homo; species Homo sapiens. The sequence goes on from NC_000024.10 coordinate 3,919,746, forward strand.
TAAAGTTGTTTATAGTATTCTCTCATGTTTATTTGTATTTCTTTGGGGTCAGTTGTGATATCCCCTTTATCATTCTTTATTGTGTCTATTTGATTCTTCCCTCTTTTCTCCTTGTTTGTCTAGCTAGTGGTTTATCTATTTTATTAATTTTTTCAAAAAAATAGCTTCTGAATTTGTTGATTTTTTGAAGGGTTTTTGTGTCTCTATCTTTCTCAGTTCACTCTGATCTTGGTTATTTCTTGTCTTCTGCTAACTTGGGAATTTGTTTGCTCTTGGTTCTCTAGTTATTTTAGTTGTGTTGTTAAGATGTCAATTTGAGGCCACACATATTTTTGTCTGCATTTTCTTTATGGCACAGCAAGGAGAGGACAATACTTGCAAATCACGACAATTAAATTAAAGAAATTAGGCAATGTATTTAACTCCTGCATACACTTTTCTGGATCCTCTGAAACCTGGCCAAATTTTTTACTGTATAAAGCTAAATCACACATAGAAAATGACATATGTACTATAAATATTTCCCAATTTCCATCAGCTACCTCCCAGAGTGGACTCAGGTTTGATTTTAAAGGCTGATTAGGTGCCCCACTCCCAGTGGTACTGGTTGGGTTTACTTCCTTGGACAGAGGCTGGTATAGGCTGAGATGAATTAGATAAGGAGGAGGGGTGCCTGATAACCTTGGGATGGAATCCTTTATTTACATACTGGATATACCTCTCTCAGAATTGGTGAAATAAGTAGGCTACAGAGGGTGTAGGTCTTCTAGGGGGAACCACTAGGAGGGAATCCCTTGGGCATGACTTTCTGGTGTCTAAAATTAACAGGAGCCAGTATAAGGCCATAAAAGCCTGTACACAAGGGACCTCCTTCCATTTTCCTTTAAAAAAAAAAAAACAGAATAAGTCCAGTTGTAAAATAGCAGTATAATGTATAGAACCATGTTTAGGCCAAATCTCTTGGTTTTCTCATTTTTATTGGACCCAAGAGGTGTTGCAATAGAAAAGGAGTTTCTGTTTTCTAAGCTGAATTTCAAATGCTCTAATAACCTAAAATACATGCTAGTGGTGAGTCCTCTGAAATACCTATCATTATTTCCATGTCTAACAAGGATTTCTACTTATCACAGAAGTTTTTCTAAGTCAAATGAGAGGAAAATCAACTTGGCTTTAATTATTTTTTTTTTAGATTGTCACTTCCTGCAGAGAAGGTGTAAATAATGTATTATGAAAGGGGTTACAAGCATTTGTCAGTGAATAAAATATGACAAAATAAGTATTTTTATTAAGCAAAATGTAGAAAGAAAAGTGTAAATCAAGTATAGGAAAATAAGTTGCTCTTATAAAAAATAATACCTTTAGGGCAGAATACAAGAAAAGGCAAACCCCTAGACTGGTTTTCTACCCTACAGTCTTAAAAGGAATGCCAATACTGAAAACACTGGAGCATCCAGGGGGCGGCTAATAATACCAAATGCTCAAAACTCAGAGTACCCAACTATTAGCCAGTAAGGGTTCCCAAACTAAATACCAGAAACCCCACAGTATCTAGGGGTTGAAAAATGCCAAAAACCCTGTAGCATCTGGGGGGTGGCCAACAGTGAACCCCAAAGGCCTAGCTGGGGACACAGAACAACGTGACCCTGGAATTCTATAGTCAACACAACAGGGGATCTCTTAAAATAAATGGTCCTGACTTAAACATTGCCCAGGGAGTCAAAGCAAAATAATAATAATAATTTTTTAAAGGACTGCATACAAAACATACATTTTAGGACTGAAAATAAAATGGCTGGTAGAGCAATAAGATGCTGTCAGAGGAAAAAGGACCAGGGGAAGGGGTGATAAAGACATGGTTCCGGGCACCCAAAAAGGGACTTTTCGACTCGCCACCTAGCCAGAAGCTTTTATTCTCTAGCTTAACCAATATCGTGGTGGAAGAGCAGAGGGGAGATGCACCCATCTGCAGGAGCCAAAATGGTGCTGACCAGTCTTCCACGTGTGACCTGGGTGAAGGTCTCTACAGGTTCCCTCAACTTGAGTGGGCTCAGGTGTCACATGGGGACAGACATGATGACTAGTGACCCATTGGCCTGATGGCCAGAATAGCAGGTCCCACATGAGGTGACAGTGTTATGGTTGCCTGTCCATTCACTCAGGTCTGCTGCCCACCAGGAAAGATGATGGCTCTTCAAAGAGACTTTGGCTAGTGTTACAGCTCTGGCACTGATTACCATCTCACCATCTCTTGTAAATCACTTCCTCTTGCTGTCTTGCTGTCCTACTGACCACCATCTCTCCATCTATCTCCAATTGCCACCTCTCTGCTATCTTTTTGCCTCTTTTCTGATCACTACTGGCTCACTGTCTCTCCACTGATCGCTGCTCTGTCTGTTGTCTCACTGCCATATTGGTCACTGCCTCTTTCTTGTCATCTTCATCACTTCATGGTAGCCAGATGATGCAGGACAGGCAAGCAACAAACCTGGGGCTTAGCTTGAGAGGGTTCTTGGCTTTGCCCAGGAAATAATTCAAGGTGAGGCAGTGGTATTAGATAGCAATCTTTCTTGAACAGTACTGCTCATTATGGAGCAGGGCTAACTCACAGGCAGTGTGCCCAGAGTCAGCAATATATGGGCTCTTGACAACTGTAATTGTGCTCATGGAAACCCACTTACGATTACATGCAAATTAAGGGGTGGTCAATGCAAATTGAGGACCGGGTCATTTAGAATTTTCCAGGAAAGGTTTGGAACCTTCTAGGTAATTGCTATGGAAAGTGGTGGTAAGTTCTGAATTGTTGCCATGGCACTTGCAAACTGTGATGGCACTGGTGGGAGTGTCTTATGCTAATGAGCAATGTGGACAGCTGGGGATTGCTTTCATCATCATCGTCTGTCAGTTTCTTCATTCTGGCTGGACAAGATTCCATTTTCATCAGGAGAGTTATGACCAGAAAACAACTCTTTCTGGTAAATTACCTGACATCTAGAAAAATTGGAGGTAACAAAAATGGTGTGTGTGTGTGTGTGTATGTATATATATGTGTGTGTATATATATATATATATGTATATATATGTGTGTGTGTGTGTATATATATATATATATATATATATATATATATATATATATATGTACTGTTTAGCCATATACAGCCATGTGCTGTATGACAACATTTTCATCAAGGTCAGACTGATGTGGTAGCTTTCATAACATTGTAGCCCAACACAATGGGCTTATTCTGTTTATATTTATTCTGTTTAGATATCTTGCATACACAAATACCATTACATTACAATTGCCTACAGCATTCAATGCAGTAACCTGCTTACCAAGTTTGTAGACTAAGAGCTATACTAGATAGTCTAGATTTGTAGTAGACTGTATCATCTAGATTTATTTAAGTACACTCTATGATTTTTGCACAATGACAAAATCTCCTAATAACACATTTCTGAGAATGTATCCACATCATTAAGTGATGTATGACTATATATGTGTGTGTGTGTATGTGAGTTTACATACAGACAATCCCAATTTAGAATCTTTTACCTTACAATTTCTCAACTTTAAGATGTTGTGAAATCATCATAATTTCTACATGATGTACAATACTCTATAAATTAGATGAGATATTCAGCAGTTTATGATAAAACAGGCCTTATGTTAGATGATTATGCCCTACTGTGCACTAATGTAAATCTTCTGAACACATGTAAGGCAGCCTAGGCTAAGCTATGATGTTTAGTAGGTTTTGTGTATTAAAGAAATTTTTGACTGATATGACTTATAATGTTTTAAATTTATAATGGGTTTATTGGGACATAACCCCATAATAACTATAAGACCATCTCTCTATCTCTCTCTCTCTCTCTTTGTGTGTGTGTGTATTTATGTATGTATGTGTTTACACACACATTTATATACATATGTAAATGTAAATATTATTAAATTGGCCACTTGAAAAATTATTTTTTGCTCAATTTTCCCCGCATTACAATTTATATCCTATATGATCACATCAGTGTATTTGCATGTAAGTGTCTACGATGAAATTAAGATGTTTATCTTTACAGAGGTACATAATTTTATGAAGATTATTAAAGTGATGTTGAGACACTGCATCAATCAAAACCAAAGATATTTCAAAATTAAAACCTCATTTAGAAGTCACATCATTTAGGCCAGGCACGGTGGCTCACGTCTGTAATCTCAGCACTTTGGGAGGCCAAGGTGGGCAGATCATGAGGTCAGGAGATGGAGCCCATCCTGGCTAACATGCTGAAAACCCGTCTCTACTAAAAATAATACAAAAAAAATTAGCCAGACGTGGCAGCAGGCACCTGTAGTCCCAGCTACCAGGGAAGCTGAGACAGGAGAATGGCGTGAACCTGGGAGGGGGAGCTTGCAGTGAGCCAAGATCGCACCACTGCACTGAAGCCTGGGCAACACAGTGAGACTCCATCTCAAATAACAATAATAATAATAATGATAATAAATAATACAATAATAAAAAAGAAGTTACATCATTTAAAAGTTAAATTAACAATGTACAAAGATAATTAAATATATATATTTTTAATAAATGATTTGAATATCAAAGTATTAAGAGAGTTGGAGATTTTGATTCAACTCACAAATATTATTGTAAAAATTGCCTTATATTTGCTCATTTTAAATGTTAAAAGTGAAGGGAAATATTTGTGTTTATATATCTTATAATTTTGTCAGAAAAAATGTTATAAAATTAACATTTCATTTATTCTTAGTTTGTTTTAAGAATTATTACATAATTATAATTATGTCTTCAATGTTGTAAATATAATAATAAATTTATTTTCTCACCATGTTATAGGAAAGAATTCCATTAAAATATTTTTCAATATTTACTAAGAACATTTTATCATATTCACATTTCCTCGTTTTCCTCAATGTGATCCCGACCTTCATAAAGGATATAGATCAACAACCTAAAACAAGCATTTTATTTAATGATGAAATATTATAGGCATTCATATTTACGTTAAGAACAAGACAAATATATCTGCTTTCAGTTCTACAACTAGGATTATATTGGAGATCCTAGTGAATAAAAGACAAGTAAAAGGTATATACATTGGAAAAAATACAACAAGTTGTCATTATTTACAGACAATAATCTGTTCATTGTATAACTCTAGGTAATTAAACTAATATACCAAAAAAATGAAATAATGATGAAGTTCAGCTATGTAGCTGAATATAAGCTCAACATATAAAGATACCTACCTATTTTTTCTGTATGCCAGTAATAAGCAATTTGAAAATATAACTGAAAAATAATTCTGTTTACAATATAGAACATAACTATAATACATCATATGAATGAACTTAGCAATAAATATTTACAATTTTTACTTACCACACTTCAAAAAAGCACCTTAAATATATGTGCTTGTATATATAACAAATATGTTAATGGATGACAAAACTCAACATTTCAAGTTTTTATCTTTTCCCAAATTATTTAAAAGTTCAGTGGGACTCCATTTCAAAATCTAAAACAATCTTCCATGGGACGTGAGAAACTGATTGTAAAATATGTATGGAAAAGTAAATATACAACAGTAGCCAATAATATTTTGAAAACTTAAAGAAGAAAGGCCTGTCCTATCAATATCAATGTATATTTTAAAGTTTTTAATTAATTCATTCATTTATCTGATTAACTTATATTTGAGTAACTATTATGTCTCACTCGAGATTCATTGTGAATGAACTGACATTCTTCCCCCATGGAGCTTACATTCTAGTGGGAAGGATAAATAATGAACAATTAATAAAACAGCAAGTAAATATATAATATTCCATAGCACATTAAGTCCTATAAAGAAAAAAAAAAGGGGCAAGGAGCACTCTTATTATAGTAAAAACCATACTAATAGAAACAATGACCTAAGAACTTAATAAATAAATAAGTAGAACAAAATTGTTTAAAAAAATAGGCCAATGTGTTTATAAGGATTTTTCTATATTAAAGGTAAAATTTCAAGTCAATAAGGAAGGGACAGATTATTCAATAAATGGCATGGTTAATTGGCTATATGCTTAGAAGGAATACAGTTAAAATCCTGTAGCTCAAAATAAATTTGTAAACAAATATTTGCAATGGAAATAAAAGACAAGATATTAGTATTCAGAATGAAAAAATTCTTGAAAATCAATTAGAAAAGGAATAGAATAATGAGTGAAAAAATATGTGCTGCATTGGCGAAAATGTGAGGAAGTAGGTGCTCTCACCTTATATGCAGCTAGTGAGAAGGTATTATAAATCGGTACAACCATTTTGAAGAACAATTTGGCTGTAGCTATTTAATAATTATAATTGTTTTTGTTTGTTTTTATTTACCAAACTTCAATAAAACACACTAAAACTTTACCCGAGATCATTAAGGAACATCTGAAATAATACAAATATTTCACGTTAATGGGTGAAAAAACTAAACATTTAAGATTTTTATCTTAAATGCTGTTTTTGTCTTAAATATAGTGAGACAGGGTCTTACTATATTGCCCAGACTTGTCTTGAACTGGACTCAAATAATCCTCCCACTTCAACTCCTGAGTAACTGCGACTACAGGCATGTGCCACAGTGCCTGTCAATAATTGTAATATTTCGTTTGCTATTACCAAGCAATTGTACTTTGGGGTATCTATTCTAAAGAAACACTCACACAGGTGTTTAAGGAGGCAAGTACACTTATATTAATTCCTACATAGTACAAGTGTTAGATTGAAAACAAATGCTACTATTTTCTATAATGTATTAACAAGCAAATAGGGAAATGTGGCTGAGGAATACACACAAAGATACACACAACCATGCCTTCTAGTCAAAGTTCAAATTCATAACCTGAATTCAAGTAAATCCTGGTATTGTCTAACCCATTTACTCTCTCACTTTCCTAGTTGACTATTTCACACCCTTTGTCTGTCTCTTAAAACATTCAATATCATTTCCCTACCCTCTTATTCAGTTTGATTTTTAGCTAATTATCTTACATCCTGCATCATTGAGAAAAGAGAAGAAATCAAAAGAGAACTTCCACAGGATTATAAAATCATATATACCTTATAGCTGACCTACACCTATATACTTTGTTTTCTGTATTGTTAATATGGAGACCCTTAGCAAAGTCCAACTCCTCCATTTATGCACTTATCACCTTCCTTCTCACCTAGTAAAGACTATTTTTCAAGCAGTTATTACCCATAATGCATAACTACTTTTACTCCGGATTGCATTATTCATAACAGCATACATAGTATTTATCCAAACTTATCCAAAAAAAAAAAATTCTGACTGTAACCCAGTTTCGCTTTCAAATCCCCTTTACAAAAAAACTGCTTTCTTCAGATTCACCTGCTTCTTTTCCTCTCCTTCCATTCTCTCACAATGCACAACCAGTGATGTCTGTGCTCCTGGTGAAGATGTTTGTCTACCAAAGTGGTTCTTGACGAGCTCATAATTAACCTCCACATTGCTAAGTAAAGTGGTCAACCCTCAGTTCTTGTCCTATTCCACTTTTTAAATTTGACTTTTGGGACACCACAATCTCTTCATTCACTTGGCATCTCATTGCAGTCTATCTTTCAGTCTTTTCCGCCTGTTTTCCTTTTTGTCTACACAACTTCAAAAGTTTAGAAGGCCTCAGCAATCAGTCTTCATAATTCTTTTCTCTATCTTTATTCCTTTTTTGTGTGGGCTCTTCTTCACCCATGGTTTTAAATACTATCCATATACTGATGACTCTGAAATGTATATCTGTAGCTTGGACCACACTCCTGAGATAAGAGTCTTACGTATCCAAATGCCTACTTGATGTATGATCTGGGACATCTAATAGGCATCTCCAACTGAATACATCATAAATGGAGTCCAATCTTTGCAAAATAGGACCGGTAAATGGCAACTGCAAATCATTCAATTCATACTTGAGTCCTATTCATTTCTCAGATGGTTTGAGATACGATAGTCATTTCATCAGAAAATCCTATCGGTTCTGCCTTCAAAACAAATTAATACTCGACCACTTTTGCTTCCACTTTCACTGCTAGTTCATACACCAGCATATCTTCTAGATTATTCCAATAGTTATCTAACTGACTTTCTGGTTTCTTTGCTCCCCCTCCCCCCACAGATATGTCTGCACATGTCACTCAAAGGGACCCTGTTAATATAGGTCAGATTCCACAACTCAAAAATCTCCCAATATTTTCCCCGCGCAATAAGAACAAAAAGTAAAGCTATTTTAAAATGGCTAAAACACTGTACATGTTCTCAGGCTTCCCACCATTCCCTGTCTACTTTCTCTGATCTAGCTACTCTTTTTCTAAAATAAACGCCAAATCTGGAGAGTGTCTATATTCATTGCTCTTTTTGCCTGAAAATTGCTTACCCCCAATTTCAAGTGGCTAATACCTTCACTTCTTTCAGGCCTCTAGCATTCTTTATCCATTTAACCTGCTTCAGTTTCTGTATTGCACATAATTACCATCAGATGGCTATATATATATATATATAAAATTGTCTGTTAACCCCTCTAGAATGCAAGCCTCATGAAAGGCAATGTCTTTATCAGTGTTATGCATTGATGTATCTCCAGAACCTGAAACATTCCTTGTAATAAAACAGGTGTTAATAAATATAAATTGGCTATATGAATGTATATATAAATGAAGTAATAGAAGGTAGAGGAATAAACAAAGCAATAAGAAAAGATAGAGCAGGAATACAACCTATTCTGTCATAAACGTTAGCTCAAAATGTAAGAAACTTTGCAGGCAAGATAGAGAAAGCCTAAGTTTTCCTTGCTTGTTTTTTTTTTTTTAATGGGAGAACTAAGAAAATGTATATACTAAGGAAAAGAGAAAATAAAAAAGAAGTTTAAGATTAGCATATAAATGGGGTCATTAATAAAAGTTGGAGGTAAAGAGTTGGAACCAAATTTGGTGAAGACTTCATGCCTGGACTAGAAAAATATAATTAAAAAAACAAAAAGTTGGTACCTGTACATGAGATTAGTTTGTAGAGTAATGGACAAAAATGTAAGATAAATATTCCTCTATTGCCTCTACATTTCCTGTGCATTTGTGACAAATCATCTGAAGCCATTCAGTGTGGTGGAATGAGGAAAACAATACAAATTTTGAAAACCAATTATAAATAATGAGAAAGAAAGCATGGTACAAGCACATGTAAGTCTGAATGACAGCACAAAAGAGTCATTTAATATTGGAAACTATGATGTCACAGGGGCCCAGAAGTGCTCAGAAGCTAGGGTGTAGGAAAAGAGAATTTGATGGTTGTATTAATAGAGAATTATTGACTTAAGGCACATGATGTTGAGAAAAGACAGTCAATAGGAATGGCAAGAGAATAACTAATATGATATATCTAAGATTTGGCTGGATATGAAACTTAGAGACTTTAGAGCCAAGGGTGGTTTTGAATGGTAAATGAGTGGAATAAAGTAATCAAGAGACTTGAGGTCATTTTGGAGCTGGGAGATCAGTTATAGTGGGCAAAGGGACATTTCTTGAACATTGAATGAGTTTGCTAACTTGCAGTAAATGTACATGTTAGAAAAACATATCGTTTGTTGTTGCTTGAGGTCTAGTGGAATATAATCTCTTCTTAGCATGATCCACCACTTTCTTGCTTCCAGCTTCTCTATTGGCCTCTATTACTCTTTAGTGCTTCATATTATATAGATTTGTTGCTGATTCATGTCAGTTATGAAAAGAGGGGAAGGGGTAGTGAATATTGAAGACTTGGACCAACACTGAACTGTTTTAGCTGTTTTGTTTTATAGCAACTTTGTGGAGATATGATTCATATATTATACAATTCAATGGCCTTTAGTACATTTGCAGAGTTGTACAACTTTTACCACTGTCTAACTAGAGAATATTTCATTAACTCAAAAAGAAACCACGCAACCTTTAGTGATCATCCTCCAAATCTTTCCATCTACCCTATTCTTAGGCACACAATAATCTATATTTTGTCTCTATATTTACCTATTTTAGATAGTTCACATAAGTAGAAACATACAATATGTGATCCCTTGTGCTACCCTTTCACTTAGCATAATGTTTTGAAGGATTATCCACATTGTAGCATATATCAGCATGTCTTTCCCTCATATTGCTGAATAATATTCTATTGTGCTATGGCCTGAATGTTTGTGTCCCCAAAAAATACATACACTGAAGACTAACCACCAAGGTGATAGCATTAAGAGGTGTGGCCTTTGGAAGGTGATTAGATCATGAGGGCTGAGCCCTCATAAATGGGATTAGTACCCCAATAAGAGAGGCCTGAGGGAGCTTGTTTGCCCTTTTCACCATGTGAAGACACAGCTTGAAGGCACTAAGAGGAAGCAAGACCTCACCAGACACTGCTGATATCCTATACTTGGACTTCTCAGTCTCCAGAACTGTGAGAAATAAACTTCTGTTGTGTATAAATTAAGAAGTCTAAGGCATTTTATTATAGCAGCCTGAATGAACTAAGAAATATTGTATGAATATACCATATTTTATTTGTCCATTTATCACTTGATGGACATTTGGGCTGTTTTCTATTTTTTATATAAATAATATAGCCATTAATATTTTATAAAGACTTTTGTGTGGAAAAATGTTTTAATTTCTTTTTGGTATACACTTTGGAATGGAATTGCTGAATTATATGTTACTACCTAAGGAACGACCAGACTGTTTCCAAAGGGGCTGAACAATTTTACATTCCTGTCAGTAATGTATGAGAAATCCCATTTCTCTGCATCCTAGCCAACACTTGTTATTATCTGTCTTTTTAGTGACAAGCATCACAGTGTGTTTGAAGTAGTATCTCATTGTGGTTTGATTTTCATTTTCCTTACAGCTACTAATGTTGAGCATCTTTTCATGTGTGTATTTGTCCTTCCTATATCTTCTTTGGGTAAATGTCTATTCGATTCTTTGTCTTTTTACTGTAGAGTTATAAGAATTATATGTCCTAGCTACAAGTTCCTTTATATATATATGATTTGCAAAACTTTTTTCACTAGGTGGGTTGCCTTTTTACTTTCTTGAAGGAATTCTTTGAAGTTCAAAATTTTTAACTTTGATGATGTCTAGTTTATGTATTATTGGTCCTTATGCACTTGATATCATATCTGAGAAACTAATGTGTAATCCAAGGTCACAAAGGTTTATGCTTGTGGGTTTTTTCCCCCTGAAAGTCGTTTATAAAATGAAGTTAGTATTAGGACCAAGAAGTATCCATTAGATGAAGACTTTCTGACAGCAATGTTCTAAAAGCAATTTTGATTTTCTTTTAAGCTTATTCTGTTTCATCTTGTTTGTTTGATTGTTCGTTTTGATTGGAGGACAATGAAAGCTTGCATTGCTCTAACAATGGATTATGCTAGTGTTAATACAGGGATCTTTAAAAGGTAAAATTAAGTGAAGGGAAAAAGCAAGAGACAAGGCAAAAAATGATTTTATTAAAAGCCTACGTGATGGAGGGGAGGCAGCATAAAGAGCAGAGCTGATTCTTAGCTCAGATAACATGTGAAATAAAAGTAGACGAGACATACAACAGATAGCAAAAAAACAGAGGATTAACATAAGAGCAAGGAGAAACTTGGCTTAATGAAGTCAAAGAAGAATGAAACATAAACATAAAAAAGACTACCTGTAAGAAATATGATAAGTGGGTTATATGAGTTACTACTCTGGAAATCTTTGGGCAGCAAAGCTGTACCTTACCTTTCATTGCGCTCAATAAACATTGAACAATTAACCTATGTTCCAATATGATTAATAGGCAATTAAAAATTCATTTCTTATTTCTCTACGAGAACTATATTCCCTCTTAGTTTTCATAATCCTGGGTGTACTTCTTACTACTGGTTACTCTATTTATACTTCTGTTAAATTTGCTGTCTTATCCTTAAAACTTATTAGCTATTGTTTATGAAATTTTTCAAAGGCTACTCAGCTATGTCAGAGCCGATACGCTTATTTGGTCTAAAAATGAAAATGCTAATTACCTTTTTTATAATATTTTAGAAGAAAATATTTTGACAACTATGCAGTTCATGATACAGAAACCAATCTAATGGAAAGAGGGTGAAGAGTAGTAAACAACTTGGGACAGAGGATTCCATTAATTGATTAATCAACAGTGATTAATTAATTGAGTTTTAAAAAGACATTTAATACTTTGCAAATTACCTGTGATTCATCACAATAGCCACACACACACACACAAACACACACACACACACACACACACACACACACACAGAATTTTCCCCAGACCAGAGAATAACACTGGAATGAATGGTATTATAGAATTTCTGCAGTTAAATCCATTTACTTTTTTATTATTGATATTTATCAGGTTTATGGAAAAGGAGAGGAAGTGTCCATGTAGCATGTTACTATGCATGCCATTTAGTCTACCACTGAATTACTAAAATAACTGAACTTGTGATCCCACTCATTACTCATTCTTTGATTTATGATCAATCAATTTAATTAATACAATTATTACTTACCATTCAGACCACAGTAAGACACATTGCATGGATATAGTCTTAGAGTAATTAACTACTCAAATAAATCTGTTAAGATGCAAACAATGGTTAATGATCTTTGAATTTCAATTATTAAACTTCTTGATTCAATGCAAGTCAGAGAGTTGTGTTTCCTTATAACAACAAAAAATAAAAATATATGGTCACTGAAAAAAATAGATGTATAGTCAAGTTAAAAAAGAAAAAGAAACTAAAAATCACTCAAAATATCACTTCCCTGGGGCAATCAACAACAATATTTAGCAGTATTTTTTTTATTTCTTATCTGCTTATAAAATACTTTAAAAAATGGATTCTACTGTAGGTGATTTTGTGAGTTTATTTCTTCTTTCTTAGTAAACTTATGGATAACTTTTGTGTCTATACAGAACTCCATTATCATTTTAAATGAGCGTAACGTGTTCCATCATATGCATTTTGCACATTTCTTTAACAAACTCCTATTTGAGGATAATTTGTCTATTCCCAAAAAATTTAAAAATTCCCAAAATGTTCTTAAAACTTGTTATACAGTTTGCCAAAAAAGAACTATAATTAAAAGAATGCCCCCAATATGTAATTTTTAAAATAAACAAGTAGATTTTTTATATTGATAATGAGAAGAGAATATAGATGATCATGATCGTTTTGATTTCAGAAAAAAACAAAGATGTTTCAAAAGAGTCTTCCCAAAGAGTAGGTGAAGAATGAGCAGAGACACTGACAGTCATCCCCACAGACATCCTTTGAAATCACTAAAATGAATCATCCTAGGAATGGGAGCACCCTCTGTTTATAGAGATTTTGTCATAAAAATGTCAATATGGAGATATTGAACCTAATGTCAGAGTAAGATTAAATATGGAGTAGAAGATTCAGTTGTAGAAAAAAGTGTAGGTTCCAAGATTATGATTAAGTTTGCCCTTAGATAGGGGCACAGAACTGGTAGTTCAGCTAGAAGCCATAATTTCTCATGAGATTTTCCACGTCCCATGATATTGCAATGCTGGATTTCGTTCTTCAGGGGAGAAATTCCTGTGACCCTGAGGTTTAAGGTTTGGCATAGAGCAAACTGTACATGCTCAGAGTTCACTCTTTTTCCCTTCAATTACATTATTCCTCTATGAAGTATCCTTTTACTCTTCTTTTCACAGTAAGTATTCAAGCTTGATGAATACACACACAGACAACGGTCATCATGCTTCCTTGCTTTATAGACTATACTCATACTTAGTCTTTTGCTTTAAAATACCACTACTTAAATTATTTTATAAAAAACTTAAAGATTTAAATGGTTAACTTCATATGAAACAAATATGTCTAATATGATGAAACTTACATAAGATTTGTGTTTGATGCATTTGATTTCTTCTGCTATTTGTTAAAAGGAAGGATATATTTCAAATAAAAATGTCTTCTTCTGTAACAAATAATAATCTAAAATTGAATCATCTCATAGAATATTAAAACTTCATGTGCCAGTAAACAAAATATAACATAATCTTTAATAAATCATTATATAATATGATTTCAGCAATTATAGTATTGTGTCCCAAAACTTTCACTAAAAGCAGTCAAAAACTAGCATTTATAAAAGTTAGAAAACAATGGACAGAATTCTGTTATATTTACATATCTAAATAATGTTATAATTAAAATGCAGAATAACAATAGGCAGTATTAAAGTTTTTTCCTCGTTTATTCAAGATCTGTATCTTCAGGCTACATATTTTTATTGCTAAAAGTCCTTTTCTGAAGACGAATACATTTTACCCCATCAGTCATTTTTAACTTTACATTAGGAGAGACATCCTCTAGGAGCTGCTTATAAGCTTTGGAGTTAGATTAGACTTAGACTTGGAAAATACATTTGAAGTTCTCTGAATCTTACTTTTTTTTCATTAAAAAAAACCTCTAGCTTCATGCTTCATGACAGGGTTCCCGTGAAAAATAAAGTCTGATTAAATAACATAATGCAACTATACAGCAAGCACAGCGTATAATTCATCAGTCTACTATGCTGTTTCCTTCATATTCTTTATAGTTATACATAAAATACATAGAAAAGGAACATGCCAAGTAGTCTACGCTCCCTTGACACACAGTCCCCACACCAAGCCATTTCAGCAGCTCAGTTAAACTACTGGAATCGTGGAATTGCTTGACACCTTTTAAAAACCGATGCAGGTTTCTAATTGAAAAATATATTCTCTTCATCTTTTAAACAAACCTAATGGGGCTTGAGATTAAAACTCTGCTGAACAGTATAAAATTCTATATCATGACAAATACATTCCAAGAAAGTGATAGATTGTGAAGAATATAATTTTTTATGATGTCTCAAAATAAAATTATTTCTTTCAATCACTTGTAAAACATATTGGGTTTTCAAGTACAATTATGTATACACATGTATGTATATGTTTGTGTGTATTACATATATTTTTCCCTTATTATTGATCATGAGTCTGTATTTTATATTCATATATTACTACTATGAATAACAAGATCTGTCTTCTTTGATCTGAAATATCTACATAAGGATATTACTTTGATTTCTGCCTGATTTTCAATGCATGAAAGATAAAATAAAATAACTATTAGATTTAATCAAATTATAAAAGGTTTGCCATCTATATTTCAATTGTTCTAACTTACAATTTATAAAAAGTATTAGAGATATATATGTACTGAGTTTCAAACTTTAACTTCCTCTGGTTTAAAAAATATAAAGCATGTCCATGACGAGAAGTTAAGCTCTGCTCTCATTTAAATAAAATAATTCAATTATCATTTGTTTTGCATCCTACCACAAAATCACATTAAAAGTATGCTGCAATATTACTTCAAATTAATTTATACTAACCAGTGTAATATTCAAGAAGGGTATACAATCTAGTTACTAAACAAAATTCCTTTAGTACAATGATTGCTTCAGTGAAATATCTATTTAAAGCCTAGAGTTGCATTAAATAACAAGATGAATAAAAAAAATTATGTGACAAAATGCGTGTCAACAATATAAAGTAAGGCAGGCTTTATTTGTTTTAAACCTGAAATAATCCTGAGATACGTGTCAACATTAGAACCATCATTAATTAATATTTTAAAAAGATAACTATACAGAAATGCATGAAGTAGATTACTCATTATCCTTTCATATAAATATTACCATTTGTTTCTTACACATTCAATGAAAAACATGCAGTAAGGGGTCTGCTTTATTGTCAATGTGATAATTTTACAAACAATTGAAATAAAAATTGTAAATGAAAACAAGGGAACATACAGATAATGTAATATATTGGCTGTCAGTGTATTATAATATATACATTTGGACAGTTATCGACTTTTTGAAAGTTTCAAATTAGTAAATAATGGATTCATAACATTCTTATCACTTATCAAAAGAACACTTATGGATTCATATTGATTTATATTTATAATTATATGTATGCAGCTAAAATTTTAGAGGGAAAATATTATTCCCAATATACCTTATTAATAAATATGCAAAGGTCTATTATGTGATGGTATAATGTAATCACTGTAGGTAGTCTGACACAATATGCAAATTACCTTGCCTTTTGAGGAATTCTGTTTTTTTTAGACAGAGTCTTGCTCAGTTGCCCAGGCTGGAATGCAGTGGCGCCATCTCGGCTCACTGAAAGTTCCGCCTCCCAGGTTCATGCCATCCTCCTCCCTCAGCCTCCCAAGTAGCTGGGACTATAGGTGCCCGCCACCACGACCGGCTAATTTTTTGTATTTTTAGTAGAGACAGGGTTTCACCACGTTAGCCAGGATGGTCTCGATCTCCTGACCTTGTGTTCTGCCCGCCTCGGCCTCCCAAAGTGCTGGGATTACAGGCTTGAGCCACCGCAGCCGGCTGAGGAATTCTTTATCAGAGATACTAAGGAGGTATAATTAAAACTCTGTGGGCTGGGCACAGTGGCTCATCCTTGTAATACCAGCACTTTGGGATGCCAAAGAGGGAGGACTGCTTGAGCCCAGGAGTTCGAGGCTTTATCACTACAAAAAGTAAGAAAATTAGCTGAGCATGGCAGAATGTACCCGTGGTCCCAGCTACTTAGGAGGCTGAGGTGGGAGAACTCGCTTGAGCCCAGGAGGCCAGGGCTGTAGTGAGTCCTGTTCATGCCACTACATTTCAGCCTGGGTGACAGAGTGAAACTCTGTCTCAAAAATAATAAAAATAAAAATTAAAAATAATTAAAATTAAAAATTAAACTAATAAAACAGCACAACGTTTTATTAATAGTTTCTGGAGATCCCGCCACTGCACTCCAGCCTGGGCGACAGAGCGAAACTCCGTCTCAAAAAAAAAAAAAAAAAAAAAAAAAAAAATAGTTTCTGGAGGCAACTGTTGTGCATATATTGACTCTCACAGGATATGTCCTATGATCCACGGAAAGCTGCACATCTCTCAAATCTTAGTACATGTTAATCTTATTTAACATTAAATGATATTTTTAATTATAGGCCTTAGGCATAATATGTGATTATCAAAATAAAAAAGAAATCCATCATATTTACAGAGAATTTTAGCAGTAAAAGATGAATTACAAGAGGATATAGGTTTCATTCTCACTTAACAAGAAACTCTAATCAACTAACCTAGAGCTTTGAGATTTAAAAGTAACTGAAATTTTATTATTTTATACATTTTATTCTCACCTGTATTTTCCAAGTAACTGAAGAAGAAACATTCACTAACC
Source organism: Homo sapiens (assembly GCF_000001405.40). Classification (NCBI taxonomy): domain Eukaryota; kingdom Metazoa; phylum Chordata; class Mammalia; order Primates; family Hominidae; genus Homo; species Homo sapiens. Next base: position 3,937,092 of record NC_000024.10, read on the forward strand.
AATATTACATTTCTATGCTGATTTTCCAGATAAAGTTAACATTTAACAATTTTTTACAGCATAATACTAAACAAATATAAATAGTTTAAATAAGCTAGATTAATTAAAATACTTTTTACGTTACCCAATATTTATTTCAGATGTAGTTAAATTATAAACATCAAAATATTGCAGAAAATCAAACTGCTACTCAACCCACTAACTTGATAGATAAACATATAAAGTAATTTCATTACAAACGAGCATTTTAATTCTGTCTTTCCCTTCTGCTTTCCAAAATAAACTTTGTATAATTGATTGATGTCAGATACTGTGATGGTGTAAGTAGAGGAGGGAATAAATGGCCTTAGAAAAATGGGGCAAAAAAATATGAAACTCAGGTATCACAGAAATGTAATACACTTACTCTTTCATATTTTTGTGACCTTTTGAAACATCAACACATTGAAAAAATACTCATCTGTTTCCTATTTTAAAATTACATTATTTAAGGATGTGCAAATTTGTCTAAGGATAAGGCTGTAATGAAATCCTATCTTCTCTTAGTTAATAGATATTCAATCAATAACCAATGGAAGCAGGAGGATTCCTTTAAATAATTTATTAGGCCTTTCTGTTTCATATCCTTGAAACATAAATTAGTGTTGCTTGATTACATGACCCTCTGAATTACAACATGAGACTATTCTATTTAGAAAAAGCTTTCTCTTTTATATTCCTTTTGATCTTATTATTTTCCCCCATTTTTGACCTCTAACTTTCAGACAAAAAGAATCTACAAAATTGGATTGGACATATGAAATTATATCAGAGCAATACATATCTACTTGGTGCTCATCATAGTATAAAAATTGATACATTTTTCAGTAAAATTTTAAACTAAAATCCTTGAGTTTGAACTGACAAAGTTTCTCATTTCCTTGCAAATAAATGCCCTGTCAAAAATCTAAATTTTATATAAAACAGGAAGTGATGGAGGAAAGTATTTTTTTATTTATTTACAATTATTCTATAAAATACAAATATGTGTATGTGTGTGTTTTAGTGATACATATATATCAGGAACTTGGCTAGAACCTTAAGCTAAAAGCTGGAATGTCATACTAATTTTGTTTAATTTAAAAGCAAACATTTATTTTGTATAGCAACCAAAGAGAAAACCAAAGAAGCCCAGTGGATCAAATTCAGCCATCACTGACTATAGTTTCCCTAAGACTCTTGAAATGGAAAAGTAGCATATACTGAGCACCAAAGTAATATCTGATATATTCAAATTTCTGATAGGCTACCTATGTATATATTCTGCCAATAAATAAACTGTGTGACAAACAGACTCTAATGTAGCCCTACATGGTCTCTGGCTTCTGGTGTTTACATCCTAGTGTAATTCCTACTCCTTGAATATGGATGGGACCCATGTCTTGCTTCTAAACAAAAAAATTTGGCAAAAGTGATGGTATTTCACTCACCACATTACATTAGGCTCCATATTCCTAGCAGACCTGCTAGCTTGATAAAGAAAGTGGTCATGTTGGAAAGGCTCACATGGCAAGGAAGCGTGAACAGCCTCTAGGTAGTATGGGAAGCCTCTAGCGTCTAAGGATAGCTATGAATGATCAGCAAGAATCTGAAGCCCTTATTCCTACAAAAGTGAAGAAATGAATTCTGACAACAGCCTGAGTGAGCTTGGAAGTGGATTTTCCCAATTCAGGTCTCCAGATGTAAACTTTTCCCAGATGATAATTTTCACTTTTGCAGAACCCTAAAGGGAGTGCCTACTACACAATGCTGAGACCCCGATTCACACAAATTGTGAGCAAATAAATGTGCGCTGTGTTTACCCACAAAGTATGTGATTATTTCTTATGCAGCAATATAAATTAATATAAACACTTAATGAAATAAAGACAAAATTTCAATAATGCTGACTTTGGGCAAAATATTAAGCATCTTCATGTTCCTGTTCTATGACAAGAGTTAAATGTTTTACTCATGCCCTAAAAAGGCATCTATGGATTCTAGTCCAACATTAATTTACATAAATTTCTTTTTTTTAACTTTTATGTTCAGGGGTACATGTACAGTTTTGTTATATAGGTAAACTTGTATTATGGGGGTTTGCTGTACAGATTATTTTGTCACCCAGGTAGTAAGCCTAGTGGCCATTAGTTATTTTTCCTGATTCTCTCTCTCCTCCCACACTTCACCCTCTGGTAGGCCCTAGTATGTATTGCTCCCCACCCCCACCTTTTTTTTTGAGACAGAGTCTCACACTGTTGCCCAGGCTGGAGTGCAGTGGTACGATCTCGGCTCACCACAACCTCTGCCTCCTGAGTTCAAGCGATTCTCCTGCCTCAGCCTATCCAGTAGCTGGGACTACAGGTGTGTGCCACCATGCCTGGCTATTTTTTCTATTTTTAATAGAGTCAGGGTTTCACTATGTTGGCCAGGCTGGTCTCAAACTCCTGACCTCGTGATCCACCCTCCTTGACCTCCCAAAGTACTGGGATTACAGGCACGAGTCACTGTGCCCGGCCTGTGTTGTTCCCCTTTATGTGTCCATGTGTTCTCATCATGTAGTTCCCAATTATAAGTGAGAACATGTGGTATTTGGTTTTTTATTCCTGCATTAGTTTGGTATAAATAATGGCCTCCAGCTTCATCCATGTTCCTGTAAAAGGCATGGTCTCAAGCGTTTTTATTTCTGAACAGTATATCATGGTATATATGTACTACATTTCCTTTATCCAGTCTACCATTGATAGGCATTTAGGTTGATTCTATGTCTTTGCTATTGTGAATAGTGTAACAATGAACTTACGTGTGCATGTGTCTTTATGATAGAATGGTTTATA